>NC_000003.12:67888787-68191818 GCF_000001405.40 Homo sapiens
ACCAATTCTGGACACATAAGGAGCTCTGAAATTTCTCTCCTCCATAAAAACAATGAAAAAACTGGCAAAAATGATCAGAACCAACTTTCTCAGACTTTGGAAATTAACCAAGGGCTTGCAGTAACCTAGGGAACATTTGTTCTAAAAAACAAGTGAATCTTCATAAGAAGAGTGAACATTGTTGCATTTTAATTTGCTCTATTTCTATCTCCCTTTCTCCAGTTCCACAGTTGCATTGAAAACTAATAGACCACAGGCCGGGCACAGTGGCTCACGCGTGTAATCCCAGCACTTTGGGAGGCCGAGGTGAGTGGATCACAAGGTAAGGAGTTCAAGAGCCAACATGGTGAAACCCCATCTCTACTGAAAATACAAAAGTTAGCTGGGTATGGTGGCATGTGCCTGTAATCCCAGCTACTCAGGAGGCTGAGGCAGGAAAATTGTTTGCACTGGGATCCAGGAGGTGGAGGTTGCAGTGAGCTGAGATCATGCCATTGCACTCCAGTCTGGTCTACAGATGGAGACTCCGTCTCCAAAAAAAAACAGAAAAGAAAACTAACAGACCACAGTCATAGTGAAAACCAGCAACACAGTAGCCACTGGAAGGGCTACTGGCAGAATAGTCTTTCCTGGAAAGACCTCACTTGCAAAGCTGTCTTTATTTGACCTGACTTCCATCTCACCAAGTGAAGAAATCTGTTTTCTTGGGGACACTGTCAAAAACATTTAGAGCCAAATGTTTAACTTTGTGGCTGCCTGATGCAATAGACCACAGTTGGGTCAAATAATAGGCTAAACCAAAAAACTTAAAAGAAAAAGCTGGAGAATGATAGTCTATAAAAGCTTTGGAAGACTCCAACATGCTGTTAGGAATTTAGAAGGCCATGCACATGTGTAAAGCTGCACACAGGCCTAGGACTGTGTGAATACTCTGGAAAGACCTGTGACTGTCCTAAGCTCTCACCTTTGGGTGACCTTGAGGTTCTGTGCTAGCAAGAAGTAAAGACTAAGGTGAAATTGTCTACTGACTGGCTGCGTGTTAAAGGTATGCCCCAACATTCATGCAGAGCCACTCAACAAAGACTGGAACAGCTATCAGTTTCATGTGTTAAAGAACACATCTGTTCAATTATTAGCAACCACTAAGCTAATGAGCAACATTTCACTGACCAAGCAAAATGAAGAGTACTGCTTTTACAGAATTAGTTCAGAAAAGTTACTAAATAAGAACATGACAACAGTCAGCAACAATAAACCCTGAGGAGGAGAAATTCTGGCTTTCAGAGTTTCCACATTATTTTATGTAAAATGTCCAGTTTCCAACAAAAATTATGAGACACACAAATAAATAAGTATGGCCAATACTAAGAAAAAATGAATTGATAGAAACTGTCCCTGAGGAAGCCCAAATGTTGGAATAAGTAGTCAAAGACTTTAAATTGACTATTTTAAATATGTCTTAAAAATCTAAAAGGAACATGTTTATAAAACTTAAGTGTGAGAACAATTTTGTACCAGATAGAGACTACCAAGAAAGGTATGAAAAATATTTTTTAAAAGCTAAATAGAAATTCTGGAATTGAAAGTATAACTGAAATAAAAAATTCACTAGAAGGGCTAAACAGCAAATTTGGACTGGTAAAAGAAAGAATCATTGAACTTGAAGATAGGTAAATGGAGATTATCCAGTCTGAGACACAGAAGAAACAAGGAAGGAAGAAAAATGAACTGAGCTTTAGAGACTTGTGGGGCACACAAATGTATCAACCTGCACATAATGGGAATCCTAGAGGGAGAGAAGAGAACAAAAGGGGTAGATTGAATATTTAAAGAAATAATGGCTGACATTTTCAAAAGCTGATGAAAAAAATTTCTCTGTATATTTAAGAAGCACGATGAACTCCATGTAGAATACACTCAAAGAGATTCATACCTAGACAAATTATAATCAAATTGAACAAAGAGATAATCTTGAAAGTAGGAAAAGTGAAGTGACTCATCACTTACAAGGGATCAACAAGTATATTAACTGATTTCTCATCAGAAGCCATGAAGGTCAGAGACAGTAGGATGATATAGCCAATGTATTCAAAGAAAAATACTGCAACCCAATAAATCCATCAAAACTGTTTGCAAAAATAAGATAGAAATAAAGACATTTCAAGTTAAGCAAAAACTGAGAGAATACCACATACAAAAATTAACACAAAATGGATTAAAGACCCAAGTGTAAGAGCTAAAACTATCAAATGCTTAGAAGGAAGTACAACAAAGAAAAAAATAGATCAAAAGACACCATCAAGAAAGTAAAAAGATAAGCCCCCAAATGGAAGAAATAACTTGCAATAATAGATACACACACACACACACACACACACACACACACGTGTCAGATGTATACCCTTGTCAGATATTAATGAGTTAAGTTTTTATGTGGTGTGATGGGGAGTTGAACTTTATTCATTAGCATGTGGATATTCAATTGTCCCAGCACCATTTGATGGAAAGATGTGGATTTGAGGGAAATGATCATTAGTTTAGCAGGTCACTGACATGCAAACATAGTCTTCATGCTTGATATAGTTTGGATATACGTCTCCATCCAAATCTCCTGTTGAATTGTAATCAACAATGTTGGAGGTGGAGCCTGGTGGGAGGTATTGGAATCAAGGGAGTAGATCCCTCAAGAATGGCTTGGGCCATCTCCTTGGTGATAAGTGAGCTCTTGCTCTGAGTTCACACAAGATCTGATCCATTAAAAGTGTACCGCACCTCTTGCCACCACTATCTTTTTCTCATGCTCCTATTTTTGCCATGTAAAGTGCCTGCCCCCACTTTGCGTTCCACCATAATTGTAAGCTTCCTGAGGTCTCTTTAGAAGCCAAGCAGATGCCAGCACCATGCTTCATATAAAGCTTGCAGAACTGAGAGCCAATTAAACCTCTTTACTTATAAATCACCCTTTCTCAGCTGTTTCTTTGTAGCAACGAAAGAATGGCCTAATGCAATGCACAATGCCCCAACTGGGGAATTTCCCAACCTGCATTTTACAAATTGGATTAATGTTAAACATATAGCCACGGATGCTAGTTTGTTTGACAGGATGAACAGAGAAATAACACGTATGACTATGGTATTTCTGAAAACTTTGCTTTACTCAAGTATCACTGAAGCATTTTTTCTGTAGCCACTTACCAACTCTTCCCTCAACTTTTTCTATTAATTTATCTACAATAAATAGCTAATTAAAAAATTTTAAACTCTATTAAGCACATCATAAGTGTTATCTGTAAAATCATGAGTTTATTGTGTTTGTAATAGTTCCTCCAACAAATTAATACATACTCATTAAAGGTAAAGATTATCCACTTAATTCCTTCCAATTTCTTAGGAGCATTAAGGCCTATGAATAACGTATTTGGGGAGACATTAGTGTTTGGAAAGAGCCTTCCTTCTGTGGAAAGTTATTTGACCAGAATTTTAGTTTCCAATATAATGGGTTTGTGATCTTTGGTGAGCAAGACATATCTATGGCCTTATATGTAAACAGTGAGCAAGATATGTTACCTGTGTTACCTATCATTACTGAGGGCCTTCTGAAAGCCAGGATCTTCCTATCAGACATTACCTAATCGGGTTGTTCATTACCTCCTGTTGTGGGTGGAATGGTGTCTCCTTCAAAACATGTTTTAAAATCCTGACCCTTGGTATCTGTAAATGTGACCTTATTTGGAAGTAGTCTTCTCCGATGTAGTCAATTTAAGATGATACTTGATTAGGGTGTGCCCTAAATCCAACCACTAGTGTCTTTATAAGATGAGGAAGATTTGGACACACAGACGCCCTGGGAGAGTGCCACATGACAATGGAGGAATAGATTGAGTGAGGTGTCTATAAACCAATGAATACTCAGGATTGCTGGCAACCACCTGAAGCTAGGAGAGGCAATGAAGGATCCTTCCCCAGAGCCTTTAGAGGGAGTGTGGCTCTGTGGACACATTGATTTCAGACTTCTAGCCACCAGAAGATAAATCTCTGTTGTTTTAAGCCACCCAGTTAGTAGTAATTTGTTGCAGAGCCCTAGGGAAATAATACACCTACCTTTTCTTGTCTATGTCAGCTAGATGAGGGCAGGGATCGCTCATTTATTTTGTTCACTGCTGATCCTCAGATCCTGGAACAGTTTCTCACACACTGTAAATGCTTAATTCATATTTTTTGAGTGAATGCATTAATAAGGTCTCTTAACAGTTCTGAGAGTTATACACGTTGTATTATGAAGAAAACAAGCCTGGGAGAGTTTGTAAAACATATTCAAGGTTATACAGAATTCTAGATACATCTAATTTCAAAATCTCTGCTCCTTTCACTGTACTCTGCCCACTGCAAAATAAAGAACTGGAACAAAATGGTTTCTTGTCCCTTGCAGCTGAGAGCAATGGTTCTTTGATAACACACATGCTTTTTCGAGATGGCATATTGAGCCATCACTTCCAAAAATATTTGTTGAGGTTGTAGCAAGACTGGGACCCCCCAATAGAGCAAAGTAATGCTAACGTTTTAATTTTTTATTCAATAAATATTGAGTGAGCACTTACTATGTACCAGGTCCCTTAAGTACTTTACTTGATGAATCACTTTATATGCTTTTCACAATAGTCTTACCAAGCTGAAATTATTATTTCCATTTTACATATGAAGAAACTGATGCAAAGAGAAGTCACACAGCCTGCTGAATGTCACAGCTAGGAAGGAGCCAAACCCACATTCAGTCCAGACCTTGAAACTACAAATCTCAATTACCTGAAATGCTTGTACCCTCCCTTACATGTTCCACCCTGTCTTCAGGTTCTGGTTCAGCATCTTACAGCCCGGGGAGCCCTCCTTTCATACTGTACACCTTGTGGTATATTCCTCAAGCATTCCACCCTCCTGCACTTCTTTCCACCTTGGTAGATATCTGGCCCACCTCCTGAACTACATTCCTAGCCTCCGAAGCTTACAAACAACAGATATAACATGCCTTAAGTTGGTAATATAAATGGTGCCAAAGAAGCTGCTTCATGGATGCCTGAGACAAATTTTCCAGGATGATCGCATTCTGAACTAGTTGAAACCACAATCATATTGCCATCAATCTTCTTGAAGTATTTAATCACTTGCACGGAATCTCTTGGGGATGCTTGCTAAAAATATACTTTCCTGGGCTTCACTTGAAACTTACAGAATCAAAACACCTGAAGGTGGGATCTTCCCAACATCAGCATATATGGTGTTTCCAGGATCTGCAGTGTATACTCCCTGTTTAATGATTTCACTGGAAAAATTTCCCATTGCGTTTCAGGTTTTACCTATATGTCTCAGCCTCTAAGAATATTTCTTTTCACCCGAGGCTACAGACCCTCACCTGTAGTAAGTAAGTGCTTCTCTGTGTTCCCGTTGAGCACTTTGGTATTTAGCCCCATTATAGTAATTTGCATACTCTTATATACTTGCATCTTTACTTATAAGTCTCCCTTTCACTTACCTGTGAGCTCCTTAGGGTCAGAGTCTTTCCCAGTCATATCCCATGTGCTTATCATAGTCCTTGACAGGTAGCAGGTGGTCAATAGTAAAATACAGGAATACACAAACAAAAAAAGATAGTGGAATTAATGAGCAATTAGGAGCACTGAATTTCTACTCAAATTTCTGCCAAGAGCACACAGGGACAGAATACATCCATTTTATTTAGTGTTAGCGTGGAGATCACATCTTTCCCCCACAACTGGCCATTTTCTCAGTTGCAAGAGGTAGAATTAATTGTCATAGAGAAGCAGAAGGAAACCATGAGTGCTGATGGGATTGTTTGTCCTACTCATCTAGTTTGAGAAGGATGCAAATGCAGAAAATTTAGATGTTTATGGGACAACAGCCTCCGCCTTCTAAACAGTTCCTGGATACGTTTGGCATGACTTCTGTTGGAATGCATGAAGAAAGTAGGAATGACAACCACATAATTTTGCAAATCACAGTATTTCAAACAAAACACACCCTTTTGGCAATCTAGGATAACTACAAATTAAGGGAGCCAGTATCTCTCTTCTTTTAAAGTCTAGGATGGGGCTGGGTGCGGTGGTTCACACCTGTAACCCCAGCACTTTGGGAGGCCTAGGTGGGCAGATGACCGGAGGTCGGGAGTTCAAGACAAGCCTGGCCAAAATGGTGAAACCGCATCTTTACTAAAAATCCACAAATTAGCCGGTCACGGTGGCTGTCACCTGTAATCCCAGCTACTCGGCAGGCTGAGGCAGAGAATTGCTTGAACACGGGAGGCAGAGGTTGCAGTGAGCTGAGATCATGACACTCCACTCCAGCTTGGATGACAGAGTAAGACTCTGTCTCAAAAAAAATAAACAAACAAACAAATAAATAAAATCTAGGATGTTTTTATTTCCTGATAGCATCTAGTAGGTGCTGCATTTATTATGTAGGCACTTAATAAATGCTTATGAATTGGACTTATCTTGCTAGTGGCCTCCCTACCAATGCATGTGGGAAAGGAAAAAATGCCTTTGAAATTTCTTTCCTTTGTGGTCCACTTATTTATACAAACCTGCCATATGTTTATGCAAGCAATGTACTGGTGGCTGGTAGAAAGAATTTTAGAATAGGATAGAAAATATTTTTAGGCTTTGGTCTTGGGTTTGTCCCTAACTAGCCCAGTGGCCTCAGATAAGACACTTAATTTCTCTACTTTTTTAATGTCCTTACTTGCCAGAGAAGGATCATTTTAGCCCCCTTGTTAGCTTATATTTTTGATAGAAGGCGTTAAGGCAATGTGCTAGTGAGAATTTAACTTGTATGAAATACATAGTCACTTAGTAATTATCAAGAATAAAAAAATAAGTAAATGCAACAATAAGTATGAAGGAGCTTTAGTGATACAGAGCTACCCAGGAATATGAAGACTTCCAAAAGCCCAGAAACTTTCAAAGAAAATTATTTCAGAAGGATTTAGGCTTCTTCACACCTAGGCAAGAATCAGTTAATCTGATCATTTGAGGACAGGTCTATGTCAAAGTATTTCCTGTTGGAAAAGGACCATAGGCTGGATACATTTTGATAGGAGGAAAAACAGTAAGGACTTGCTATAGGAAGGAATGATTGGATATGGGTCCATGCATTGCCCCAGCTTGGGATCTGAGGCAACTTAACAATACGTGGTGATAGGGAGGGAGAGTAGAGGAAACTAAGCTGAAAATTCAGCCCTTTCTGCTACCGATGAGGTTTTCCTAATTCTGTTTTTCCTAAGAGAGAGAGAGAGAGAGAGAGAGTGTGTGTGTGTGTGTGTGTGTGTGTGTGTGTAGTTCTTTGCATTTGGCATCGGGGGTAGAATCAATGGTGTGCTAGTTCATGTTTAACAATCAATTCTTCAGAAAAAAAAAGGCAACCTTGATTTTCATGATATAAATACACTGCCATGGCTGATTTGAAGCTGTCAGTGCTTTAACAACAGGCTCATAAAATTTCTTAAAGTTTGACAGTCAGTTCTTTGAGCCAGTGTGAGCCAACTCCAGCAAAACACTGAATAGGTTAACTATGAAGTAATAAAAACTGATTATGGGAGACTTCAAAGAGTAAAGAGAACTGTCTAACAGATCCCCATATTCCCATTACCTAGCTTCAGTAATTGTCAAACCAAGTAAAATTCCTTTCTCTGTACCTTACCTGCTCCTTCCATCCCCAGCTGGATTATTTTGAAGCCTGTATCTCAATATGTGTCTCTAAAAGATAAGGACTCTTTAAAAATGTAATACAATTACTGTATCAAATATATTAACAACAATTCCTGAAAACCATAAGTATCTAGTCAGTGTTCAAATTTCTCTGAATCCATATATATGTATTATATTTATTTATTTATTTATTCCTTTGAGGAATGCACACTTGGTTTATTCAAATCAGGAGCCAAGCAAAGTCAATACACTGCCTTTAATTGATATATCTCTTAATTCTCTTTAAATCTGTAAGCTTCTTCTTCCCTTCCCCACCACTTTTATTTTCTTTGCAATTTGTTTGTTGGGAAAACAAGGTCACTTATCTTGTGGTTTTCACTGAAATTTGCTGATGGTACTTCCATGGTGTTAATGTGTTCTCCTGTCCCCTGTTTTTTTCTATATAGGGGTAATTAGATCTAAAGGCTCGATCCAATTTAGGTTCTCTCTCTCTCTCTCTGTTTCTTGTGTGTGTGTGTGTGTGTGTGTGTGTGGGGGGGGGGGGGGGTGTGTCTGCATGAACAAGGGTCCTTCATAGGGAAGCGTAAAACTTTCTTATTTCCTCATATTAGGAGACACATTGTGCCTGGTTGTTCATCTTTTAGTGATATCAAGATCGATCAGTGGGTTCAGTCTGAAACAGACTACACTCACATTGCCAAAAAAAAACTACCCAAAATCTGAGATAAATATTTTCTTTTTCAGTCTCGAAGATGCCTTTTAACCACAAACACATAAATCAATATATCCGTATAAACAGTTACTAAATCAACCCATCTATTTTATTCATGATCACTTCACATTTGAAAGCTCTTGCTGTATTTATTTATTTTTTTGAACTGAATTTGGGGCTTTGACTAGGAAGCCATAAATCTAGTTTTTGATGAAATACGACTTCACCACAATGCCAGATTGGAAAGAGTTCCCTGCCAATTTTTCTTCTTCACATTGCTTTGGTAAGTGGTGAGTATTCACATTCCCTCTGTTCAGGGCTAATGCACCGCTGATTTAGCTTCAACCTCCTCAAAAGTTTTTTCTTTAACTGTTAATTTTTGATGGACAATGTATTACCAGGGACAGTCACATCTGCCAGGTTGTGCAGGCAGGATTTGAAGCGTGCCTAAGGTGTGGGCAGATGAACAAGTTCTATCACCTGGAGTGTGGCGGTTTCCCTAACTCTCCCTAGCCACTAGTTAGGCCTTAATATGCTTAGAAGGTTGCTCGTCTAATATGAACTGTGTGAGACTTTGGCTGGAGGGTAGTTCTGTGTCCCAGTGATAAAAGAACACGTAAAACAACCCAGTGCCTGATCATTCTCCCTGGCTGTCAGTGAATCATGTCTAATGGCATCTCTATACAGTTTGCGCCAATTTGCTTGCAATGGCATCCTTTTCCGTGGGCTCGCTGCTCAGCAGGCCCTGAAGCAATCTATGAATAACTTCCCAACAGATGCTGTTTATGAATTGAAGCAAATGGCTTCCCTGTTTCTCTTTTTTCTCACTTCAATAATTTTCAGTTACATTACGATGAATATTTATAGTCCTGTAGCAGTGCATAAAAATGGAGAACAAGCAGACCTGGGCATTGTTTCATACGTGAGTGCTGTTCTAATGGGTTTTGGCTGACTGGTTTTAATAATGTTCAGTTGATGGACTGAAAGAGGATGCAAATCGTAGATCAGTCATTTTCATGCACTGTTTTAGCAGGATGGGCATTGATGGAGCGCTGGTTGCATCCCTCACGTGCCTGTGATGCCTTAACTCTCTAAGTCAACTCGTTCCTATGTGTCTGCCTCCTCTGTCTACTTCTTTTGAGTAATATCAACTAGTTGACTTCCGCAGAGACTCTGACACCAATGTAAGAGCTCATTAGGTTTATTTTACCACTCTCTACAGGTATTACCATTTGTGATTCAAACGACTAACTGTGTTAGAAGCTGCGGCCCAACCAACATAACATTCTGTGAAATGAAAATGTAAAATCATAAGGAATACGTTGGTTTTGATTTGCCAGCTTATTTTATAGAAAGATATTGAGCCACATTTTACTCTAAATGGCTTTTTCAAATGTTCCATATTTCCATGTTCTCTTAAATATTACAAAAATGAGAGGACTTACATCTAAACATCGCTCCTAAATTTGATTCCAAGAGAGCTACTCTAACTTCAGTGGCTTATGTTTCAAATAGCTGATATACCTTACTTGCATTTTCTATTTTACAATAATGAGTTAGTTAACTAGCCTATATTTTCCAAACCATTGACTGTGTCATATGGGCCCACATACAAATAATTGTCTGTTTGGCTATTTGCTTATAAATAAGAGTGTTGAAAATTGTATGTAAATATGTATATGCATGCACAGTAAATATATATTGAAGCCTCCCAAAATATTCAAATTGCCTCATTTTCCACTGTTGCATTATGAAATACTCACCAACTACTCAAATGGAACCATATTTATTATGCATGCAAACCCACAATATCTTTACCACCTATCATTTGTATGCTGTACACAGAAGGTTGTGCTGTAACACAACAGTAAAAAATAAAAACGGCAATTTGGAGAGAAGGATCTTTCTTGCTCTAACTGCAGCAGATGCAAAGAGTGGTTTCCTTTGAAAAGGGGAAGTATAACACAATCCTGAAATATTTGAAGCATTAACAAAAAGTTCAAGAATTTAATATTTGATATGCAAATATTATTGTTAAAGAAACTAATATGCAGCATAATGTCTCAGAATGCTTCAAAATCATGCCCCCAAAATACTAAACTAAGAAACTCTGAGAATATTTTCAGGCCTGGAGCAAAAGGTCTAAAAATAGACCAGGATTTGTACTTTTGCAGAACAATTCACCATAGCACTTTTCTATTTGTCTTAAATAATAGTAAAATATTGTAAATGTTACAAATGTAATAAACAGTATGGGAAGTTAATTGTTCCCCTCACTAGGAAAACTACCGTTAATAATGCTTTGTATATAACTTTAGATAGTAGTACGCATATGGAACATTTACACAGGAATATTTTTCTTCATGTGCCATATTTTCTCTTCCATAATGGAAAGTGTCTGGATCTTGTGTTCTTTTTGCACTTTTTATTTTTTTATTTTTTGAGACAGAGTTTTGCTCTTGTCACACAGGCTAGAGTGCAACGGCACAATCTTGGCTCACTGCAACTCTGCCTCCCAGGTTCAAGCGATTCTCCCGCCAGAGCCTCCCGAGTAGCTGGGATTACAGGTGCCCCCCACTACACAGGGTTACTTTTTGTATTTTTGGTAGAGATGTGGTTTCACCATGTTGGCCAGACTGGCCTCGAAGTCCTGACCTTAAGACCTCAAGTGAGCTACTCGCCTTGGTCTCCCAAAGTTCTGGGATTACGGGCGTGAGCCACCGCGACCAGCCGTCTTTTTGCACCTTGTTCTTGATCAACACTTCTCCTGATTTCTAAGTAGGCAAGCTTTTTTATTGTTTATTGTTTTGTTTTCTTTTATATTATTCCTTCACCCTAGAGTTACTTTGAGTTTCATTTTAAGTATGATTTTTAAAAAGCCATGGGGAAAATTGTCACTTGCTGATGGGTTTTTCTGTAGTGGCCACAGTATCAGGGAGTGAGTCCACTTCTCAATACAAGGGTGCTGCAAAAACATTATTTGGGTATGCAGAATTGTGTGTGAGATCTAGGCATCAGGAAGTAATTCTGTTATAATAAATAGGTGGATAAATAAGAGGATGAGGAGGGTACTAGATACAAACATAAGCCTAAGTTGGGGGCTAAGATAGTGCCCAGCAGAAAACTATCAGGAATACTACATCAGAACCATGCTTCAAGACAGGGGGTTTAGGTCACAGAGAAGATGTAGTTTGGCCTGTTGTTTGTTTACCTTGAAGCTAAAACTGCCTGAAAAATTAAGGAAGATAAATTGAGACTAGTTCAAAAATCAAGACAATTATCTCATATAAATTTCTTAAAAGCCCCTTTGTAAACAATTTCATTTCACAAATCAGGAAACAGGCCTAGAGTGTTCCAAGGTGACACTGTTCTGCTAGGCTTGAACCTAGGTCTATGTGACACAAATGGCCATACTCTTGACCGGCATGCTTCATCAGCCTGTCACATGAACCCCTTCGATGCTAAAGGTGGGAAGAGGCTACTGATAAAGCAAGCCACAGGTAGCATGCACCAGATTAATGAGATGTTCCTGATTCACCTAATCACATCAACTAATCTTCCAGCACTAAAACCAACCACTAACTTACCATAATAATTTTCACATGGTTTGATTCATGAGAACTTGAGAGGGGCCTAGGATTTATAATAAGCCCTGGCAGGAGATTCTAAACCATATGTGGAGAAATGGCGTGTTAGTCCATGTTACTTTTTTATTTGGTATAAATATAAATTCAAATGTTTTCAGAAAACATAAACTAAAAATTCTTTATTGGAAGAATCAGTTAGACTTTGTAAAACATTCATGCAAATTGGCAACTATAGATCCTCAATTATTTTAGATTACATGTAAACCTTAAATTATTTTACTCCCACAACCCAATAACTGAGGTTAGATGTAGTTAAAAATGATTGTTGCCCCCATCATCATAACAGCATGCATTGTTAAAAAGTATATTTTAAAGAGCACAGAAAGTAACTACTGACAATTTCTCATGGAAATTACTTTTTTTTGTCCCTGGACAAAGAGTTCAGGGCTAATCAAAAACCAATCAATATAAACTCTAATGTAAACCATAATTAAGGATGACAAATAGGTTCTTGTATGATGTTAAACAATGCATTTATAAAGATAACAATCCAAAGTAAAAATTTAAAAACCAAACCACCAAAGTATAGAGGATGCATGCTGGTGACTTTTTCTTTGTCACTCACTCCAAATCTTCATGTAACCATAAAGTTACCTGCAACTGAGTATAAATGCCTTAAGAGGTGCCAATACTTAGAGTGTGAGTCCTGTGATATTTTAAAAGGTATTTTAGGTTTTCATGTACCGATGATTCATTTTAGCCAACTCTTGATACTCAGTTGCTGTGTTTGATAAGGTCATTTGGTTCTGAGATTCTCCTATGGGATGGGCAGGGAGACCCCTGATGTGCATGGTTCTTAGAACTTGGAAGACTGGTAGATGTCTCTAATGCATTATCAAAAGGGCTGAAGTCAGCACCTGTAAGAATTCAAGCACAGCAAGAATGCAGATGCTGTCCATTTCAAAGCAAGCATTTATAGGAAAAAACCCAGGCAATAGAGTCTTGGAATAATTTTGGTAAACACATTTAACAGGAAGGCCTCATCTGAGAAGCAAACAGGACTGTCATGCTGTACACCCTTAGGGGGCACCAATTCCATTGTGCACCAACAAACATCGCACTGGAAAGTAATTATTCTCATAGTATACTATATGGAAAATGAATGTAAATTGCCAGTCTATTCCCATTTTATAGAGCTGTCATGAAGGTCAATTTGTTTGCAAAGAGGCTGAGCATTTGGGAGAAATGCATACATTTATTACACATTTGTATTAGGTAGTTTATATTTAAATAGGAACCATGTACTAGAAGTAAAACAACCCCTCTAAACTTTCGGTATTTCTGATGATTATTTAATATTTTATACTTTTAATGTGCTGTCAGATTAATAAAGTATGGATAAAAGGCACTGTACAAAGTTATAGGTGATATTATTAAATAACACTAATTTAAGCTGATGACTAGAGATTGCACTACTTAAATTTCTATTTCGAGTCACCAGCTGTTTATTTTGTATTTTCCTGTTTGAAGGTGATTTTCAAAGGGATCTTCATGCTGAATGGAGGCACACACACAGAAACAATTGTCTTTAAAATGCAGTCCATATCATATCTGCATGTCTGACTTGGACTTTGTCCATATAAATGGCTTTTGGGCTATGGGCTCTTTGTTTTCAGTAGATGTATAGGGAGACTGAAGACATTTGTGAGTCAGGCATCCTAAACACAAGGCATGACTGTGCCAAAATGATAACCACCTGGCAAAATTCACGTTGTTGGGAATGAGGCTAAAAGTACCTGTTTCTCTCCACTGCCTAGAGAGTTAAGTTGGAGGATCATTTGATGTGTCTAGTTCTTTGCAGTCTATCCTAAGGTTAAGATTACCTTGTTCTTTGCATCACTTAGATTGGCAAAAAGTTCTGGTTAAAACTTGTGATTTAAATTGTGGACTGCCTTGGGTATACTGGTATGCTTTTCATGGACTTAGTAGGTAGGTCTGGAAAAACTTGACAAAATGTATCACCATCTAGGATTCTTTGGTTTTCGTTTTCTCTTTTACTGTATATGCAGAAATAATTTGATGTAGTGAACTTGCTAACTAAATTCTATTTTTTCCAGCTATAATCAAGCAGATACTAAGAACCATTTACTAAGGATCTGTGATGAGCAGTGTTCTGCCCTAGCAGTTTAAACATATTTTCTTATTTATATTATGCAAGAACTTTATAAGACTAATGTTTTTCCCCTTTTAGAGATAAATAAACTGAGGCTCAGAATGATTAATTTATTCAAGGCCAAAAATCTAATATTTAATCCAGGTATGTTGGGCCTTTTTTTATTTTTTATTTTTTTTATTATCATTATACTTTAAGTTTTAGGGTACATGTGCACAATGTGCAGGTTAGTTACATATGTATACATGTGCCATGCTGGTGCGCTGCACCCACTAACTTGTCATCTAGCATTAGGTATATCTCCCAATGCTATCCCTCCCCCCTCCCCCCACCCCACAACAGTCCCCAGAGTGTGATGTTCCCCTTCCTGTGTCCATGTGTTCTCATTGTTCAATTCCCACCTATGAGTGAGAATATGCGGTGTTTGGTTTTTTGTTCTTGTGATAGTTTACTGAGAATGATGATTTCCAATTTCATCCATGTCCCTAAAAAGGACATGAACTCATCATTTTTTATGGCTGCATAGTATTCTATGGTGTATATGTGCCACATTTTCTTAATCCAGTCTATCATTGTTGGACATTTGGGTTGGTTCCAAGTCTTTGCTATTATGAATAATGCTGCAATAAACATACGTTTGCATGTGTCTTTATAGCAGCATGATTTATAGTCCTTTGGGTGTATACCCAGTAATGGGATGGCTGGGTCAAATGGTATTTCTAGTTCGAGATCCCTGAGGAAACGCCACACTGACTTCCACAATGGTTGAACTAGTTTACAGTCCCACCAACAGTGTAAAAGTGTTCCTATTTCTCCACATCCTCTCCAGCACCTGTTGTTTCCTGACTTTTTAATGATTGCCATTCTCACTGGTGTGAAATGGTATCTCATTATGGTTTTGATTTGCATTTCTCTGATGGCCAGTGATGATGAGCATTTTTTCACGTGTTTTTTGGCTGCATAAATGTCTTCTTTTGAGAAGTGTCTGTTCATGTCCTTTGCCCACTTTTTGATGGGGTTGTTTGTTTTTTTCTTGTAAATTTGTTTGAGTTCACTGTAGATTCTGAATATTAGCCCTTTGTCAGATGAGTAGGTTGCGAAAATTTTCTTCCATTTTATAGGTTGCCTGTTCACTCTGATGGTAGTTTCTTTTGCTGTGCAGAAGCTCTTTAGTTTAATTAGATCCCAATGGTCAATTTTGGCTTTTGTTGCCATTGCTTTTGGTGTTTTAGACATGAAGTCCTTGCCCATGCCTATGTCCTGAATGGTAATGCCTAAGTTTTCTTCTAGGGTTTTTATGGTTTTAGGTCTAACGTTTAAGTCTTTAATCCATCTTGAATTAATTTTTGTATAAGGTGTAAGGAAGGGATCCAGTTTCAGCTTTGTACATATGGCTAGCCAGTTTTCCCAGCACCATTTATTAAATAGGGAATCCTTTCCCCATTGCTTGTTTTTCTCAGGTTAGTCAAAGATCAGATAGTTGTAGATATGCGGCATTATTTCTGAGGGCTCTGTTCTGTTCCATTGATCTATATGTCTGTTTTGGTACCAGTACCATGCTGTTTTGGTTACTGTAGCCTTGTAGTATAGTTTGAAGTCAGGTAGTGTGATGCCTCCGGCTTTGTTCTTTTGGCTCAGGATTGACTTGGCGATGTGGGCTCTTTTTTGGTTCCACATGAACTTTAAAGTAGTTTTTTCCAATTCTGTGAAGAAAGTCATTGGTAGCTTGATGGGGATGGCATTGAATCTGTAAATTACCTTGGGCAGTATGGCTATTTTCATGATATTGATTCTTCCTAACCATGAGCATGGAATGTTTTTCCATTTGTTTGTATCCTCTTTCATTTCCTTGAGCAGTGGTTTGTAGTTCTCCTTGAAGAGGTCCTTCACATCCCTTGTAAGGTGGATTCCTGGGTATTTTATTCTCTTTGAAGCAGTTGTGAATGGGAGTTCACTCATGATTTGGCTCTCTGTTTGTCTGTTGTTGGTGTATAAGAATGCTTGTGATTTTTGTACATTGATTTTGTATCCTGAGACTTTGCTGAAGTTGCTTATCAGCTTAAGGAGATTTTGGGCTGAGACAATGGGGTTTTCTAGATATACAATCATGTCGTCTGCAAACAGGGACAATTTGACTTCCTCTTTTCCTAATTGAATACCCTTTATTTCCTTCTCCTGCCTAATTGCCCTGGCCAGAATTTCCAACATTATGTTGAATAGGAATAGTGAGAGAGGGCATCCCTGTCTTGTGCCAGTTTTCAAAGGGAATGCTTCCAGTTTTTGCCCATTCAGTATGATATTGGCTGTGGGTTTGTCATAGATAGCTCTTATTATTTTGAGATACGTCCCATCAATACATAATTTATTGAGAGTTTTTAGCATGAAGTGTTGTTGATTTTTGTCAAAGGCCTTTTCTGCGTCTATTGAGATAATCATGTGGTTTTTGTCTTTGGTTCTGTTTAAATGCTGGATTACATGTATTGATTTGCATATATTGAACCAGCCTTGCATCCCAGGGATGAAGCCCACTTGATCATGGTGGATAAGCTTTTTGATGTGCTGCTGGATTCGTTTTGCCGTATTTTATTGAGGATTTTTGCATCAATGTTCATCAAGGATATTGGCCTAAAATTCTCTTTTTTGGTTGTGTCTCTGCCCGGCTTTGGTATCAGGATGATGCTGGCCTCATAAAATGAGTTAGGGAGGATTCCCTCTTTTTCTATTGATTGGAATAGTTTCAGAAGGAATGGTACCAGTTCCTCCTTGTACCTCTGGTAGAATTCGGCTGTGAATCCATCTGGTCCTGGGGCCTTTTTATAACCTATGACTCCTTCCTGCCATGTGATTTCATGAATATGGGTACATTTTTACCATCTGTGTAATAAGAGAGTAACAGTAAATTACTTCCAATGCTTCTTGCAACATTTTATTAATACTATCTTGATTCCATTAATTCAATATTTTGTATAGAACATAATTCAGTGTAATGAGCATCTTTTTTATCTTTATCCAAGATATGCATTAATAAATTACTAAGCCCGTATTGGAATCTATTATGGAAGAACTTTTGCCTATCGGTTAAGCTTTCTCATGGTAAAAACCTGAAAACCAGCATTATCGAATGTTTTTGTATACGACCTTCCTTCCAGATGTCAAACAAAACAGTCCTTTCAAATATGCAAACAGTATAAGCAGATGCATTGATTATAAGGCTTTGAGTGCTTATATTTTTTTCTAGGAATTATCAGGACAGGATTTTATTTTAAAGGTGGTGACAGCGTGTGGTTTGTGGTGAACTTTCAGCATCCGCTACAAATTTATTTTTAAATCACAACTGTTGCATCTCTAGGGCCTACCCTGGGAACATAAAAAGGAAAAAAAAAAAAAGCCTAGAGCCCTTTCTTAACTCAATTAAGAACACCACAAGTGATAACTGCATTTTCCTATGTTTTCTCCCAGCATGAGCTGACTCAGCCAGAAATAGCACGATAGTATCGCAGATGTTCCTTTGCTCGGATTGCTGGTTATTGCTTATCTCAATGATATTTTAATACAAACACACAACTGTTCACCCTGTTTTATGGCTGTCAGAATTTTGCTTCATATTTAACAAATGGAAGTTTATGAGCAGATGTATCATTGACTCAGATTTACTTTTCCCCTCATTAAGTTGCATGGAAAAGCTAAATGCTGAATTGAAGAGGGCATCAGACACATCTGCAGTAGTAGACTATTGGAGTCAGATCGTTCATCTGGACTGTCATTGCCCACCAGCTCAATAGACCTGTGAGCTTCATCCTCTATTGTTAAGACCAAAAGATCAACATTTCATTCTAGGATCCCAGGCAAATATTTCCTCTATTTTTGCCAGTGACATATGTTTAATATCACTACTTTCTCCTGGAAATAATAAAACAGTTTCCTGAACCATCATCATCTTCAAATGATTTTTTTTTTCTGACCTAGCTCAGTGTACTGAGCAAGGCTGAAGAACCAGGTGCACATGGCATTGAGTTTTGACTCTCTGTGGATTTAGCTATACAACCTTGGTGGATTCATGTATATTTTGATCTGGTCCCTTTCTGCTCTCCAGCCTCCTCTTGAGCTACCATTTAACCTCATCTCAGTAACACTGACTTTTCAGTTTCTTTCTTGAAACAAGTTGCAGGATTTGCCTTTGAGTGGGCGAAGCCTCAGAACACTAGGGGGTTGATACACCTGGGGCATTCACCTTGAGTGGCACTCAGCAAGGTGCCGGGATTGCCTTCCACCTGGTAGAAAGTCAGACTCCAAAACCTTTGAGATGAGGCAGAAGGTTATTTAAAAATAACTGAGACTGGCAAAGTCTCTTTCCGATGACCTGCTGCAATTCTTACTCCAATAACAGTATGATCAGCAGCTAGGAAACTTCGTGGGAGTAGTTTAGCCCCCTGAAATTTATAGCTCTGATTGAATGTTCAGGAGTCCGTTTCCAAGCCCAAAATCCAATGTGCAGTCTTTCACATCCAACCATAGGCAATCACATACAAGGCTTTGCCTGGAAGTCTTCATGGGGAAGCTGCTCAACCTACACCATACTTGGTGCACAGGCAGTGCATTGAAGTTTTCAGGAGGGAACTGCAGTCAAGGACTCAAGCTCACTGGGCCAGCCATGCTCTTTGGCACAGCTGCTTTCCTTGCCCAGGCAACCTGGCTGGTACCTCCTTATCAGGGGCTATGGCTGAGGCATTTTTCTCCACTTTGATTTTGTACCTTTTCTCCTCTTTTAGACCTTTTTCCTTCTCTTGTCTCCCTACTCTGCCCCCAACATGAGCTCATAAAGAGGCAGGTGCTCCTTGGCAATGTGATGATTCCCCCATCTGCAGTGCATCCACTTGACCCTCGCCCAGCACTTTTCTGTGGGGAAAAGTGACACACTGTGGGGCTGGCACCTCTCATGAACTGCTTACTTGCACTGTCAGGGTGAGTGAATAATGGCATGATTGTTCCTGTCACTTTGGCTTATTGTTCTAATTGACTACTTTGACAACTGATTGCTCCAAAGCTATTCCACTGTGTTTCCTTTTTGGTGTGCTTTCATAATAATAGTAAGGAAAGCAAAAACTTACTGATCACTGTGTACTAGGCACTGTTTTAAATATTTTGTAAAAATTAACTCAAAAAATTCTAAGGTAAGTACTCCATTCTATTCCCATTTTGTAACTGAGATAACTGAGGCAGTGAGAGGCTTTTTAACTTGCTTGATATTGTACAGATATGTGGGAAAATGAGGATTTGAAACTGTGCCCGCTAGGATATAGGACTTCTCTTTTACTTCCCTTAAAAAACCTTGTTTCCTTTGCTGTGACTTCTGACATATTCTCATCAGCCATTTGACTGTGTCGATATAAAATCAGCATGGTATCATTTTTCTTCTCAGGTCTTTTGCACATAAAATTCACTCATGCATTTATTTGTCCTGCTACCTTCTATTCATCAATAAGATTTCAGGTGAAAGATCATTTTCTCAGAGAAACTTTCCTTGAACTCTCTCTGCATTTATTCTTATGACATCCTATACCTCTTCTATGAGCACTTAACCCTGATTGTGATCAAATAATTATTTGTTAAATAGACTCTCCTACTAATATTCCGTGCGGGTAAAGATTCTAGTTATGTGTCTCCAGTGAAGTGAAATACTCATCACTGAGCTTAATGCAAGAATTGTAGGTGAATAAATCAATTGGTGTCTACGTTTCCTCATCCATAGAGAAGGAACAAAAACATATATCTTACAGACATTTTGTAAAGATGAATTATAATAATTCTAATAGCATGTAGCACAAAGCTTAGCATATAGTAATTGTTCAATAAATAATAGTTATTGCTAGATATGGTAGAAACAGTATTGTTCTTCACAATGTTTTCTTCTCCTCCCCTCCCATCCCTCTCTCCATGGGAAGATCATACATTCCTGACCCTTTGATGTTAGGCTACATCATGTGACTTGATTTGGCAAGTGAAAAACAAGTAGAAATGATATGTGTTGCTTTCAAGTAGAAACCTTAAAAGTCATTGAGTCATTGAGTGATTAGTCAATGCTCCCTTTTCCCTCTACCATGAGACTTTCCCTAGGCCAGCAAATCTCCAGACATGAGCTGCTCTTTCACAGATCAGGCACACATGAGGTGATGTTTAGCCCAACTTCAGTTGATAGATGTGAAGTGTGATCCAGAAATAAAACTTAATTGTTGCAAGTCAATGAGATTTTGAGGCTGTTTTTACACAATAGTAAAAATTAAACTAAGCTTACTGATATATTAGCCCAATAGGTTAATGTGCACGCAGCAATTCTTTTGGAAGAGTAATTTATTTTATTTTATTATTTTATATATATATTTATTTTTTAGACAGAGTCTCGCTCTGTCACCCAGGCTGGAGTTCAGTGGCGCGATCTCAGCTCACTGCAACCTCCGCCTCCTGGGTTCAAGCAATTCTCCTGCCTCAGCCTCCTGAGCAGTTGGGACTACAGGGACCTGCCACCACGCCCGGCTAATTTTTTGTATTTTTAGTGGAGATGGGGTTTCACCGTGTTATCCAGGATGGTCTCGATCTCCTGACCTCATGATCCATCCGCCTCTGCCTCCCAAAGTGCTGGGATTATAGGCATGAGCCACCGCGCCCGGCCTTTGGAAGAGTAATTTCTATTTTATTTTATTGTGGTAAAAACATGGAAGTCATTTTTTAAGGGCATTTTCTTTCAGTATCAAGTGTTTTCTTAAACATTTGAGAAACACACCTAAATGTATGTACAAAATAAAAATAATAGCTAGCAATTATCAAGCATTTAGTATATGTTAAGGATGTTTACAAGTGCTTTGCAAATGTTAAAGTATTTAATCCTCTAAAACCTTGTGAGGTTGGTTCTGCTATGATATCCTTTTCACAGATGTGGAAAATGAGGCACAGAGCAGCTAAATTTATTTTTCCAAGGCCAGACAAGTAGTAAGTGACAGAGCCTGAATTTGAGCCCAAGTGTTGAGTTCAGAGCCTGCAATTAACCGCCATGCTTCATTATGTCATATGTAAAATGCTTCATTATGTCATATGTACAAATGTGCAGACACAGGTCGAAACACAAATATGCGTGAAGTGCTAAGAAGAATATATATTTAAGTACAGTTGGCCCCTGAACAACACGAGTTTGAGCTGCTTGGATCTACTTACATGCAATTTTTTTTAGTATTTATATTGGAAAATATTTTGGAGCCTTGCAACAATTTGAAAAAACTTGCAGCCGAACCCCATAGACTAGAAGGAATAAAAATTAGAAAAAAGTTAAGTATGTCATGAGAGTATAAAATATGTGTAGATACTAGTCTATTTTATTCTTTACTAACATAAAATATACACAAATTTATTATAAAAAGTTAAAATGTATCAGAACGTACCCACACAAACACAGACTGAATATGGAGCTATTTGCAGTCAAGAGAAATGTAAACAAAGTTAAAGACCTGTGTTAAAGCCTAACTGCAAAAATTAACTGTAGTACATACTGTTCTACTGTAATCATTTCATAGCCACCTCCTGTTGCTATTGTAGTGAGCTCAAGTGTTGCGAGTATCCACTTAAAACGCTGTGTGATACTGATCATCTCTATGTGGGCAGTTCACCTCCCCAGTAAATTGCATATTGCAGTAAAACGTGATCTCTCATAGTTCTCATGTATTTTTCGTGGTGTTTAGTGCAATACCATAAGCCTCAAATAACACCATAGAACCCATCTAGTGATGCTGGAAGTGCTCCCAAGAAACAGAAAAAAAGTCATGACATTACAAGGAAACGTTGAGTTGCTTGATATGTACCTGATTGAGGTCTGCAGCTTTGTTTGCCCACCATTTTAGACAGACAATTGACCTTGAAAACAGAAAACATAAACTTATGGTGTCAATCATAATTAAGAAAATTATGAGGAAGAGAAAATACACTGCAGTGTTATAAATGTGTTTTCTCTTCCTCTTAATTTTCTTAATAACTTTTTCTTTTCTCTAGCTTACTTTAAGAATACAGTATATAATACATATACAAAATATGTATTAATTGACTGTACATTATCAGTAAGACTTTTGATCAACAGTAGGTTATTAGCAGTTAAGTTTTTGGGTAGTCAAAAGTTAAACTCAAATTTTCAACTGTGCAGGGAGTCAGCACCCTTAAACCCCATATTGTTTAACGATCAACTGTACATATTTAATATTACCATACAGAAAATAAAAGGATGGACTGTATTGAGATTCTTCCCAGATCTCACATTCTGTCATTTAATTTTATTTTTGTTTTCCCATGAGTATGACTCAGCCAGGAAAAAGATCAGTCCTGCTCATTGAAATCTCGCAATTGCTGACCTACAAGAGAGGGTGGGACCATGGTTCAAATTCACAGATCCTTGAAAAGCATATCCTTATGCACAATAGCAAAGACTTGGAACCAACCCAAATGTCCAACAATGATAGACTGGATTAAGCAAATGTGGCACATATACACCATGGAATACTATGCAGCCATAAAAATGATGAGTTCATGTCCTTTGTAGGGACATGGATGAAGCTGGGAGTTTGCTTTTAAAGGGATTATTCAGTGCTCCCCTTCATTTACTGATTTAACAAGGATTCTACAGTAATGTCCAAACAACCATTCCCAAGTTGGATAGATGGTCCAATCTTAAGGGTCGACCCCCTACTGAAATTTCTGAGTTCTTTATAATAACATAGAAAATATACGCTTTTGTTTTGATGAAATTGTCAAAAATAAATATAAACACAGTTTGAATTAATTGGGAGGTGAATGGAAATTTGATAAAAGCCAAAATGTTAGTGTTGTTGGAAGCAATTAGTTTTGAGTCAGCCAGACCTGGTTTCAAATTGCAGCTCTGCCTCTGTGTGAATTGGAACCATGTTGTTTGCGGTCCCTAAGTTTCAGATTCCTTATCTACCAATTGAAATGATAAATTCCTAAATCATTGGGTTGCTGTGAAAACTGAATTTAATGTTATCTTCAACTAGCATATAATAAATGTCCTATAAATTAATAAAGTAGCTATTCTTTATAATTAATTATTAATTATAATTAATTATTAATTAAAGAACAAATTCCTTAAAAGAATCATTTTACATTGTAATATACTGGATAGGAACTTATTTACCCAGGTATCTCTCAAAGGACTTCCTCAGGGATTGATAATAACATGAATGTTACTGCACAAAAACTGGCTCCCTTTTAAAGATGTTAGGTTTGGCAAACTGGAAAAGCTCGGCTTACCCAAACTATGATTCCACACTGTTTCCGAGCAGGGCGTACATAAGTGGACATTCCAAGGAAGAAACTATTTTAGCACAACAACAAAAACAGGTAAAGCAGAGGCAATAAAATAGAGCAAAACAAATAGATTTTATAAATAGAAAGTGAAAACCAAACAACTGTGGCAATTACAGCTTTCATATGATTTATGTCTTTAATTTGTCTAAATCAGTGACCCATGGAGTATTGGCATAAAAATTTCAAATTCAGCAAAAACCTAAATCACTATAAAGAAACACTGAATTTTTATTAGTTATCCTTCTTTCATTGACTTCTCCCAAACAAAATGAATTCTTCCCTGAGTGAGGCAAAATGAAGTATTATATTTTACTAAGGTATTATTGATCTGCAATTCTTAGGATCCAATATGTCACAGAAACATAGCAACAGAACTTACCCATGAAATTGACAGTACAGAATCACTGCCCAAAGGCCTTTTGCCCCTTGCTTCTGTTTAACACTAACACTAGGTATCGGTTAAGATTATTTAGTAGAAACTAACAGAAATGGACTCTGGCTAACTCGGGTAAAAACAAACAGACAAAAAAACCAAAAAGCTTCTTGGGAAGATAAGATATAGCTCAAAGAGTCAGGAGACTAGATAAGTATCCAGGCTTCAGAAAGGACAGAAATCAGGACCATCTCCATGTAAAGAAAAGACGTATGGTTTCACACAGGCAGCGATGCCAGGGATCTAGAAGGTATAAATAAATGACCAGTCATTTCAAGTTCTTGCAGATGAGTGAAATAACTCTGGTGGATTCCAACCTTAAATTACAGCCCTCAAAATTCAAATACTTGGGCAAAATTGTTTGACTGGCCTTCATTGGCCAGAGGAGGGAAAGGCACCTTGACATACAGTGTAACGATGAAGGCATGGTGTTCCCCACATTGAGGAACCCCACCAGCCTCCAGAAATGATCAAAGTCCTGTCAATTAAAATGTTACTTTCAGTCCTGTGATACTCATGTTGGGCTAAACTACAGAGCCATGCGGTAAGAAATCTGCGTTGTTTTAAGCCTGGTAATATGTTACAGCAACAACAGAACATTAATACAACTACTTTTTTTAGTATAAATATGTCTCAAGTATTGCATGTGACACATGATATTTTAAAATATGATAGTTGCTCTGTACCCTCTTATCCTAAAATGAGAAGCTAAGTCACCAAAGCAATACATGCTAAGAGATGGCAAAGCTGGTTGGCCAGGTTCTGAGAATACCCACCGCTGGCAATTAAGGTGGGAGGAAGATATGAGGAAATGCATGGTGTGGTATATCCCTTTGTTTTCACACCTTCCCTCATGGAGGAGGGGAGAGCTGTGTGTGCAACCTAAGCCCAACTTTAAGTGATGCAAGGAAAACACTAGTGGAGATAAATGCCTATTCGTTCTGGTTTAGGCCTATGGTGGTAAAGCAAAGAGGACGACACTCTACGGACAGATTATTTTTTTCTTTCTTCTCTCTTCCCTCTTCCTCTTCCTCTCCTCCTCCTCCTCCCCTCCTCCTTCCCTTTTCCCCTCCTTTTCCTCCTTCTTCTACTCATCTTCCTCCTCCTTCTCCTTCTCCTTCTCTTCTTCTTGATGGAGTCTTGCTCTTTTGCCCAGACTGGAGAGAAGTGATGCAATCAGCCTCAAACTCCTGGACTCAGGTGATCCTCCCACCTCAGCCGCCCAAGTAGCTAGAACTAAAGGCATATGCCACCACACCTTGCTAATTTTTAATTTTTTTGTAGAAATCCAGTCTCACAATTTTTCCCAGGCTGGTCTTAAACTCCTGAGCTCGAGTAATCCCCATGCCTTGGCCTCCCAAAGTGCTGGGATTATAGGCATGGGCCACAATGCCTGGCGTCAGATGCTTCTTGGCTTTACATCCTAATAAGCCCATTGTAAGTTGAAACTATTCTAAGTTGAAAATGCATTTAATATTCCTAACCTACCAAACATCATAGCTGAGCCTAGCCTAAAATGTTCTCAGATCACTTACATTAGCCTGTGGTTGGACAAAATCATTTAGCACAAAGCCTATTTTATAATAATGTTGATTGTTGCATGTGATTTATTGAATATTGTACTACAAATGAAAAACAGAATGGTTTTGTGGGTACTTAAAGTACAGTTACACCATTATAAAGTTGAAAAATCATAGCCAAGCCATAGCGAGTTGGGACCATCTGTGCTTATCTCCATATTAAGGAAAGATGTATGGTTTTGCAGAGGCAGTGTGAAAGAGTTTCCACCCAGAGAGCTTCCGGTGGGGGGCAAGTGACCCAGGAGAGTGTTGGAGAGTAGGAATTCCAGGGATAAGACGGGGGGCAGGAAGCATACCAAAGGTGTTGCTAGTGTCATAGGAGCTGTGGTCAGAAGGCCCCCATGGGAGGGTGTCCTAGGAAACACTGAAGAGCCCCCACGTGTAGGAATCTGCATTTGTATTCCTGCCACCCTCCAGAAGGCTCAGCTCCTAAGCCATGACTTCCTTCTGGATTAGAGTCTTCAGGCCTCAGAAACAGAGCTGGTGAAGAAGCTGTGTGTATTAATCAGGGTTCTCTAGAGGGACAGGATTAATAGAATAGATGTATATATGAAAGGGAGTTTATTAGGAGAATTGACTCACACAATCACAAGGTGAAGTCCCACAATAGGCCATCTACAAGCTGAGGAGCAAGTAAGTCAGTCCAAGTCCCAAAACCTCAAAAGTAGGGAAGTGCAGCTTTCAGTCTGTGGCCAAAGGCCTGAGAGCCTCTGGCAAACCACTGATGTAGGTCCAAAAGTACAAAAGCTGAAGAACTTGGAGTTTGATATTTGAGGGCAGGAAGCATCCAATACAGGAGAAAGATAGGAGTCCAGAAGACTCAGCCAGTCTAGCCTTTCTATGTTCCTTGGCCTCTTTTTATCCTAGCCATGCTGACAGCTGATTATATGGTGCCCACCCAGATTGAGGGTGGGTCTGCCTCTCCTAGTCCACTGACTCAAATGTTAATCTCCTTTGGCAACACCCTTACAGACATACCCAGGAACAATATTTTGCATCTTTCAATCCAATCAAGTTGACACCCAATATTAACCATCACAGTGTGGACGGATGGGACAGGGCAAAAAAAGAAGCAACCACACCTCCTGCCCTCACTGAAAACTTCCCCTCTTGAGGTGAATTTGAACTAGGAAAGGAGAACAATTTAAAATTTAGAGTCGTAATATACTTTAAAGTGGACTTTGTAGTTACTGAAATGAGATTGTTCTTGTGACTTGAAAGGGACCAGAGAAGCTTTGGGTGTTATCTCACTTTTCATGTAAGAACAAAAAAGATTAACACAAAGTACGGGTTGGAGGAGATGGGGAGGAAGCATACCAACTTTTTTCATGATGTGTCCTGTTGAGTCCAGCATTTCTCATGTATTAGCTATAAAAACAACAGAGTGATTTGTAGACTCAAGGAAACAGATCAGTAAGTAGAAATATCAAGTAAGAGAATAAACATTGAACGTTTAATTATTGACATAGAAGGGAGACTATACATAATTACAGTGAATCCAGATGAGATTAAAACAGTAAGAATGCTAATAGATAAATAAGACTAAAACAAGCAGCTTAATAATAAATGGTGTCTCTAAGGTGGATATTCCTCCCAAAGCAAAAAATAAAAATAAAAAAAGGGCACTCAGAGATATAACACAAAATAATTTCCCTGAAATGAAGAGAAAATCACATCTGCAGATCCAGGAGCACACACTGATTCAGCACATCCCATCCTTGAGGTTTCCAGGCAGAAAAAGCAAATTATTTACCTGGGAGAAGAAATCCGGATGGCCTCAGACTTTTCCATGTTGACATCCAAGGCCAGAAGACAGAAAGTCTGCAGTGCTTGAGGGAGAGAGAGCACCACCCAATGACCAGAGTTGCTTTTATTTCTAATGGTTACAGAGCAACATTGTCAAACATGAAATAAATCAGGAAATGTAGAGCCTGTGAGCTCTTGCTGGGGGGAAACTCTCCTGAAAACTAAAGCCAGCCAATGGAGAGACCAATCAGAGTAAGAATCCAGGAATGACAAATCCAGGAATGAGAAACAGTCTGGTGGGGAGCACTGACTGTGTTTAAATATAATATGATATTTTGACAGGTGTAGGAAAGTAACTTAGTCAACAGCCATCCTACCCTCCATTTATAGTGCAAGGTTGTGAAAGCAAAACTTTCATTTCTCAGCACCTCTTAATTTAGATTGTGCCAACCAGATGCTCTCTAGACAAAGGTTCTGAATGCGGAAATAAAGTGTAGGCATGCTGTCTTGACTTCTGCGTTTTCTGCTGCAGGCACCCAAGGGGAAGCCTTGAGTTTTCCGTTGCCGTTCTCCAATCGTGAATTGTGGTATCAAGTTAGTTCTCTTTCCTGCCAAGGTGGATCTAAGAAGCAGGGTGTAGCTCTGAAACCCATAGTTGGATGGCAATGGTTTTCTGATACCTGTGTTAGTCCCTAGAGTTGACCATTCTATTGTCGTTTGCCAAGATGTGGACCTTCTTGATGGTGACAGTGGTAATAACTCTCATTTTGGACCCATTCTTTCATATTCAAAATGGAGTTTCTCAGCCTAAGTATTGTTGACATTTTGGGTCAAATAATTCTGTTGTGAGGGCTATCCTGTACAAAGTAGGATGTTGATCATCTACATGTCAGATGTCTATAGCACCCGCCCTCCTCCCAAGTTGTGACAATCAAAAATGTCTTCAGACATTACTTAATGTCCCCTAGGGACCAAATGCCTCCTGTTGAGAACCTCTGCTCTGTAATCATAAAGCCTGCTTCTACAACTCTTGCAATCCTCCTGTTCAGTTTTGTGTTGTGTAAGATTCGAAAAAAGAGAGGTTTAAAAGAGTTCCACAGAGCAAGAGTTTGGAACAAGGATCACAGAGTGACTTTCTGCCCCTGGAACAGTAGAGTTTTGTTTAGGGAGACTGAGTCTCTATCTGGGTATGTAGCAAGAGTAGTGGCTGGACTTACGGGCGCCCTAAATCTTCACCTTGTGATTCTTTGAGGAGTCTCTTCCATCCCCATTGATATTGTGGTGCAGGCCTTGAACTATTAGAAAACCATGTGGCAGAAGTATATTCTAAGTAGAATTACTCTGCCTCACCCTGATGTCCTGTACATTATTTGATGATCATGATGATGACAACAAGTATTACGAGTGGAGTGGTAGTACAGTAGTCTGCACTTATCCTTGGGGAATTTGTCCCAGGACTCCCAGTGGATGCCTATCACAGATAGCACTGAATCCTAGATATACTGTGTTTTTTTTTTCCCCTGTACATACATAGTCATGATAAAGTTTAATTTACAATAAGATATTAAGAACAATAATAAGAAAATAGAACAATTACAACAATATGCTATAATAAAAGTTATGTGAATGTGGTCTTTTTCTCTCAAACTTATTGTACTGTACTTGCCTATTTTTGGACCACAGTTGACCCTGGGTAACTGCATCACAGGAAGCAAAAGCTCTGATGAAGAAGGTCCATTGTAGGAGTAGTTTTGGCCCAACAGGCACAGTCTTTGTCCTATCTTCTAATAAATTATAAAATGACTTTCTTATTCCACATCCCTCTCTTCTTTTCTCTATTGAATTTTGGGTGGACTTCTTAAAGCATTACTTTTTGAATTATAAATTATAGGTTCATCTAGAAAAAATCTGAAAAATATAAAGAATACAACAAAAATTTTCTACAATCCCACTGGCCATGGATTCTGATTGTTTACATTTTGCTGCATTTCCTTGAAATGTTTTCCTTTATGTTTCTCTATATACATGCATGCCAATGTTTGTAATTATATACTTTTTAAAAACAAAACTGCCATGATAAATATACACATAGTTTACATCCTGCTTCTTCACATAAAGGTATTTCATGTAATATTTCGCATAACATTGTGAAGGAAAAATATGAATTTTCTTTCCACTATCCCCTATGTTTGTGCTTTTTAGAGCCAATCTTCTTCCCCTTGTCTTGTGCCATTCATTTATTCAACAGATATTTGTTGAGTCTTTTCAATAGGGCAAATTCTGGCTTAGACACTGAGGATACAAAGCTCAGAAAGAAATGACTTCTGTGCTTGAGGAGCCCTTTCAATTGGAGAGACATGAGGAAACAAATCACTTCAATGCCATTTTCTTTGCTGCCACTATCACCAGCCACTTCCTTGCCATTATTTAAAAATAGGAATTAAGCTCCTGATTGCAGAAAGGACTGATTCAGGCAAGATGTTAGAAATCTCGGGCAGACATGCTGATACAGAGGCACATCTGTAAGTCAGTGAGCTGTTCACATCCATTGGAGGTTAAGGACAACTGCATATTAGCAGAAGAAAGCAAGGGTCAGTATGTAATTGGGAGGAGAACTGGAAAAGTGATTATAGACATGGCACAATCAGTTATTTGCCCAGCAAGACCCTAGAGAGGATTGGAAGCAAAAAAGTTGTAAGAGAGGACTGATTAGTGGCACCAGCTGGTAAACATGTTTTCTGCAGAATGATACCTGTTGCTTTAGATTTCAATATCTGCAACATTTCTATGTCTGCAACATTGTAGCCGAAGTCATTTGCATCAATCCTCTGCTTCCAAGCAGCCATATCTCTCTTTCAGTCATCATGAACAGAAATGCTTGACTTGTACTCATCAGATTTGTGGAAAGAGTTCTGAGAGTCAAAAACCCTGAAGGTCAAGAAGCATGTTGAAATCTTACTGCAGTTCTCTCTATCCAGGGCTTAAACTGGCTAAATAATAGTGTAGTGGGCTCTTGCTGCCATGTAAGTCATGACATTTTTTTTGTTCAGAGATACTTTACAAAGTGTCCTTGACCTATCTTCTATCCGTGAGGAAGAACCATATATATATATGTGTGTTTTTGTTTGTGTGTGTATATATACACACACACATACTTTTATACTACATATATACATTTATACTACATATATGTGTATATATATACATACATTTATACACACATACATATACCTGTATATGTGCATATGTATGTATGTATATGTAAACGTATGTATGTAGTATAAATTTAGGCAGTACAAGTGCAATTTTGTTACATGGATATATTGCATAGTAGTGAAGTCTGGGCTTTTATTGTAACCATCACACAAATAGTGTATATTGTACTGATTAAGTGATTTCTCATCTCCCATCCCTCTCCCACCCTCCCACTTTCAGAGTCTCCAATGATTATTATTCCACACGCTTGATGTATATACTTTATTTAGCTCCCACTTATAAGTCAGAACATGTAGTATTTGACTTTCTGATTCTGAGTTGTTTCACTTAAGATAATGGCCTCCAGTTCCACCCATGTTGCTGCAAGAACCACATATTCTTTAAATGAGTCCATCACAAGGGGAGAGGTACTAGATCCAGGTTATGTGCCACCTCATACTTGCTCAGTCTGCCTGCACCCTCTCACTTGGGGCCTCAGCTACCTGCCCAGTATCCTGTTGGAATGGCCCAGGGAAGGCTCCTGTTCTTATGTTTCTAAAGTTCCTGTGGACATTCCCTTCCCTAGGGACAAAAGCCTAGGCTTGGTTGTACTCACTGTGGCATGGTCCATAGCAGTTCCAGCTCCTGGATCTGGACCTACAAGGCTCTGGCTTTCCCAGAGCTGCCCAGAAGGGCCTTGTACCACAATATAAAAGTGCAGGAAAGATAATAGCCCGTGGGGAGAACTTTGATCAGTAAGTGATAGGAGAGGGGAAAGGAGCCACAGATAGTGTTGCTACCATTCCCCTTGATGGACCGTTCTTCAACATGGCCATCCCATGTGGCTTCTGAGCGACTGAGTGATGGTGTTATGTTCTGCTGGGAAGCCAAGGTCAACTTACTGATGCACCACCCTGCTTTGGTTTCCCTTCCTTCCCTAATTCACGTCCCCATTTCTGTTACTCTTGCTACCCCAGGATTAAACTCCCTTAATAAAGTGTGAACACAATTTTTTCAAAGTGTGTCAATCAGGGTTGAATAGTTATAGCTAACTCTTATTTTGAATTGTAATTAATTTCAAAAACAAATAAGAACTTCGTAGGCTGTTGTGGTCAGTTCAGGCTGTTATAACAAATTACCATATACTGGTTATGGCTTATAAATAGGAGTTACCTATTTCTCACAGTTATAGAGGCTGAAAGTCCAAGATCAGGGTGCCAGCATGGTCAGGTTCTGGTGAGGGCTTTCCTCTTAATTATGTCCTCACCCAGCCTTCCTTGATGGATGCACACAGAGAAGAGAGCAAGAGAGATCTTGTGCCTCTTCCTTTTCTTATAAGGACATTAATCCCATCATGGGGCTCCACCCTCAGGATCTTGTCTAAACCTAAATACCTCTGGAAGATCTACCTCCTAATACTATTACATTGAGAATTAGGGCTTCAATATAGGAATTTGGGAAGTGGGATGTTACACAAATATTCAGTCCTTAGCACAGGCCATCTCCCTGAACAGTTTTGCAAAAACAATAGATTTCATCTTACAGTATAACTACTAGAACAATCAATGACAGCAATTTGCCTACAAGGTCATAGTGCCAGTGGGGTGGGAAGGACTGGAATTGAAGACCATCTATCTATCATTGGAGTCTCTTAGAAAAGTGTGCTATAGGGTGCTAGCTTTAGGTCAGTGGGTGTGGTTTTTTGGGGGGAAACATAAAAGTTTATGACGAGAGAGCTCAATGCACCGAAACATAAATTCTCTGATGGAAGTGGGCTTTGTGCATTCTCAGTCGTTAACGTATGTCCCTGCCAAATGCGTCACTGAAAAAAAATGAAAAGACCAATACATCACCCTGGGAATATCAACCTTCCAAACCGTCAGCTAGGTATTTCTTTCAAGGTACAACATGTACCTATTCAACAAAATTTTCCGAAATAGAAATGGCACCAAGAGGGGAAACCCCTCAGGCATAAATTCATCACATATGCTCAATACTCAATGGGATGTTTTCAAATTAAAATAAGGCCCCTAAAGCAGAAACTAACACTTTACTAGATGAAGTAAATTGAGGATATTGGCTGCTGAGAAGTTTTGGCAGGGCTTTCTGAGGTATGTAATATCAGTACAACCATATTGCCACATTTTCATTTCTGTTGAAAAACTTAAAATGCCTTTCAGATGCAGTAAGTTAAATCTTTAATTCTCATCGCCTGTGGCCTCAGGAGCAAACCAGAACTTTTATATCCAGTCCGCTGCTCTATCTGTTGGGGGCAGAATTTTCAACACTAATAAAATATTTTCTTATTCTCTGATTCAGTCGCAGCCCCAGGATTACTTTGCTGTAACTTTTATTTGGCAGCTCATTTCCTTCGAGGAGTTGTTTGTTATAAAACCCAATGGGAAATGAATAATATATAAATTTTTAAGACTACCCCTATTCAGCTCCCTCATTATGGCCCACTGTGTTTTTAGGAGCATATGTGTTAGCGGAGTGTTTGCAGTATTCATAACTTGAACTTCTAATTTATGAGCTCTTAAAAGTACACTAAGCATCGGCATACTAATTATTAATATTGTGCTCTGAGGATTTTTTTTCTCTAGCTCTTATTGCAGGCAAAAGGAATGTTCTTAAAAGTAATATTCGGCAACTTCCAGACAAGCATGGCTAGGTCAGGCTGGAACATGGACCTCTGGCATTGATGTGTGGATAGTAATATCATAAGAAATTATTTATTACATGAAATGCCAACCTTGCCAATTTTTAAATGTTAATGGCCTTATGGTGAAGATAAAAGGTTTATACTCTCCACCTAGAGATTTCAGAATTTTGTAATCCTGGCATGGGAATGGTTTCATTATCTCATGAGTCATTTTTAGTTCTCTTTTAATTATAGGTGTTTATGAACTTTTATAAATTAAAAATCACAACTTTCTGGAATATTGTCTATAATAATTGAGTCAAAATGACTGAATTTGATATGCTGGATGTACGGACTTCTAGGGAGGAAAGATTTCCCTGTTGGTTCTGGGGGAAAAAAAAGAACCAAAATAAATTTTAAGTATATTATATGGATTTGTCTAAGCTAATCCAGAATGTTCAGCTGCATTCATAGGAAATCCTAATTTACTCAATAACTTGAAAATATCATCTTTAGCAAATTAGAACAAATTGCTCAGGGCCTAGCTTTTCCTAAGAGATTTTGCCTAAATGTCCATAAAGCTCTTAGTTCATTACTTAATTTTTATTTATTGTTTGTGAATTTTTTTTAAATGTTCAACTAAAAATATATCTCATATTTGGATAATATTCCTTAGGGGTAGTTCCCATTGATTTATTGCATACTAATTTAAACATTTTAGAGGGCTAGCCTTAAAGTTCTTATTTTAGAATATGGTTACAACTTGCTCAAATTATTCATAGGATGTTACTATAGTTAACATGTTATGTGTATGTAATTTGTATGGATGATACTGCTAAATCTAGTAGTAATCATTACCTAAACATGTGCTTAATATGAAAAAGCTATATGCTTTTCTTATCTGAAGTTACTTGCAATTTCAGGAGATTTAAGGAAATGTACTGCCTTATTAAAATTGAGTACAGAGAATAAATAGAAATTCTTGTGACTGTCCATAATGTTCAAGTTAGAATTTTCATTAACCTCTTTGACAAACACATTTTCAGCAATGATTAAGTTGCAACCTAATAAAAATGCTAAACACAATTTAGTAATCATAGAAGCTAACTTTCTAACTTCCCACTAGTACAAATAAATGGAACATAGGTTTAAAAATCACTCATATTACTATTATCAAAGGTAATTTTATCTTTTGGTATATTTATTTCTATTCTTTTATCTACACATAGCCTGTTTGTGTTTTTAATAGTGCAACATTAAAATATATCATGAAATTCTATTTTACATGATACTTATGCTGTAAATTTTTTTTGTGTAACTTCAAAGTCTTTGTTTACATAATAAAATGACTATAGAGTGTTACACAGCGGACATATAGTAATGGTGATGTGAAGATGCCAGGCAGTTCTTTCTTCAGAAAACAGTGTAAAAAGACCCATATTTGGAATTTGCCACCTCTATGTCTTCTCCAGTGAAAAATTTCTTCATATATTTTGCTGATTTTCTAATTGTTTGTTAAGATTGTTTTGAGAGTCCCTTATATATACTAGCTATGAGTCCTTCAGGGAAATTCAAATTAAAACCACAATCAGATATAACTACACATCTATCAGAGTGGCTAAAGAATAATAGCAATGCCAAATGCTGGTGAGAATGTGGAGATAATAATCACTTATGCTAGTGACAGTGAGAAATGATAGTCACTCTGGGAAATAGTTTGATAGTTTCTTTCAAAACTAAGCATGCAGTTACCATATAACCAAGCAATTGCACTCTTAGGCATTTATGCAGCAAAATGAGAACCTATGTTCACAAATAATACTGTACACAAATGTTCATAGCAGCTATTCATAATAGCTTAAAACTGGAAACATCCCAGATAACCTTTAACCAGTGAATGGCAAACAAACTGTGGTGTATTTATTCCATGGCATGCAACTCAACAATAAGAAGAAAATAACAATTGATTTCTGTCTAACTTGGATGAATCTCTGAAAAAGTATGCTAAGTGAAAAAGGCCAATGTCAGAAGGTTATGTAATGTAGAGTTCCAGTTATACAACATTTTGAAATGACAGACTTGGAGAAATGGTATACAGATTAGTGGTTTCTAGGGGCTAAGAGAGATAGGGGTGGAAGGGAAGTGAATTTGGTCATAAAAGGGATCCTTGGAGTTAAGGAAGTGTTGAGTAGCTTGACTGTGGTGGTAAATATGTGAATCTACATATATGACAAAATTTTATAGAACTACATACACAAACACACACATACATGAATACATGTAAATCAGGGAAATATAAATAAGATCAGTGGATAATATCAGTCAGTGTTAGTATCCTGGTCATAATATCGTACTGTAGTTTTTCAAAATGTTACAACATATAAGTAAAGTATATGTAGGATCTCTATTGTTCCTTACAAATTCATAATAACTTAAATTATATTAATAACAAATATTTTAAAAATTGGACTACTATGTCTGGCATGACTGGCAAAAACTATACATTTATGGCTTTTGTACATGGTTTCCCCCAGTGAACTACCCCAACCAGTCATACCAGTTTGAAGTAGATTATAGCACCAAGAGGACAGGAATATTTGACCTTTACAAACGAATTCTGGAAGTGAGAGAGATGCAAAAGTATTGAAGTTCAAAGTCCGAGTATAAACTTTCCCCAAATCCCTGGCTGACCCCAGAACTGCAAACACCAGCTACTGTACGTAGTAGGGGAAACTATTTTCATAGTTTGAATCTAGACCAATCAAATTGCCTACTCAAATGAAAATAATAAAACAAGCAAACCAATAATCCTCAGATGTCTCAGAGTCACTACGAGGTATAATCTACAACATTTAATTTAAAACAAGAAATTACTAGATATAGAAATAAACTTGATGGTGCTTCTTTGCCTGAGTTTGTGTGACAGTCAATGGAAACTGACACGGAATGGGCCTTGATGATATATTGAGCAGATAAACATTTCAAAGAGGCAATTTTAAATTCATTCAGATAATTAAAGGAGACTATAATATTTATAAATAAACAGATAGGAAATTGTGACAGAGAAATGTAAGCAATAAGAAAAAAACAAGTGGAAATTCTAGAACTACAAAGTACAGTATTGGAAATGAAAACTTCACTATATGGTCTCAAAAGCAGAGTTGAAATGACAGGATAAAGAATCAGTGAAATTGGCCAGCACAGTAGTTTACATCTGTAATCCTAGCACTTTGGGAGGCTAAGACAGGAAGATTGCTTGAGCCCAAGGGTTTGAGTCCAGCCTGGGCAAAAGAGGGAGACCCTGTCTTTACAAAAAATAAAAAATTAGCTGGGCACGGTGGCGTGCACTTCTGGTATCAGCTTCTTTGGAGGCTGAGGAGGGAGGATCACTTGAGTCCAAGAGGTTGAGGCTACAATGAGCTGTGATTGTGCCACTGCACTGCAGCCTGGGTGACAAAAGGAGACCCTGTCTTTAAAAAGAAGAAGAAGAAATTAAAGTTAGATCAGTAGAAACTATCAAATTTGAATAACATGGAAAAAAACATTTAGCAAAAATGAACAAAACCCCAGAAAACTGTGGAACAACATCAAACAGTTCAACATGTGTGTGAATGGGGTCCCAGAAGGTGAAGAAGGAGAGAAAGGGACAAAAAAATTTGAGGGAAGAATGGCCCATATCCTCTTAAATTTGCTAAAGAAAACCCACTAACTTAGTCACTCAAGAAGTTCAATGAAACCCAAATAATATAAAGACACACACACACACACACACACACCAACAATCCAATCTCAGTACGCTACAGCAAGACACCTAAAAAGAAAACATAAAAACCTCAGAAAACCTTAAAAATGGCAAGAGAAAAACAATACATTACATGCAGAAAGTAGCAAGAGAAAAACAACAATATGATCAATTGCTGATTTATCACCAGAAATAATGCAGACCAGAAGACATTCGACTTACATATTCAACATACTGAGTAATCAAGAAAAAAAAACAAAAACAAAACACTGGCAGCCAAGAATTCTATAACTAGTCAAACTATAATACAAATATAAAAATGAAATAGAAGTTTTTAGGCAAAAACCTAGAAAATCCATAGCTAACGGACTAGCAGTACCAGAAACACTAAAGAAACTTTGAGTGCAAGGAAAATGACACCAGATGGTAATGTGGATATGCAGAAAGAAATAAGAAGCGTTGAAAAAATATGGTAAAATATAAAAGCTTATACAAATATTTTGTTCTCTCTTTTAAATATTTTTGAAAAGACATTATAGAGTTTATAAAGTACATTGGTGTAATATATGTGAGAACAACAGCATGGAAGATAGAGGGTAAATGGAACTGTACTGTTTTAAGATTCTGGTATTTTAATAAAAATAATAACTCAAGGTCACATTTGGTGGTTCACACCTGCAATCCTAGCACTTTGGGAGGCCAAGGCAGGCTGATTGCTTGAGCCTAGGAGTTCAAGACCAGCCTGGGCAACATAGCAAGACCCTGTGTCAACTAAAAATAAAAAAATAGCTGGGTGTGGTGATGTGTACCTGTAGTCCCAGGTTTATAGGAGGCTGAGGTGGGGAGGTTATTTGAGCCTGGAGGGATGAGGCTGCAGTGAGGAGTGATTGTGCCACTGTATTCCAGCCTGGGTGACAGAGTGAGACCCTGTCTCAATAATAATAATAATAATAATAATAATAATAATAATAATAATAATAATTCAATATTAAATCTAAGAAAATTATCATGAGCTAACAATGCACGTTGTTAACCCTAAGCAACCACTAAAAAAAATGCAAAGAAATATAGTTGAAAGCTAACAGAGGGTAAAATGACATACTAAAATATTTGTGGAAAACCAAAGAAAAGCTAGGAAAGGAGGAAGAGAGGAATAAAAAAGGGATGAGAGAAAAAAACAAATAGCACGATGGCAGACTAAAATCCTGTTATATAATCATATTAAATATATGGGTAAATATTTTAAATGAAAGGCAGATAATATTGGATTGGATTTTTAAAAACCAAGATCTGTCTATAAAAGTTGTACTTTAAACACAGACACAAATAAACTCTAAGTAAAAGGATAGAAAATGATACACACTATTCAAATAGTAAGCTTAAAAAGAGGGACTGGAAGGAAGGACATGGTGAGAGAACAATTTGAAGAGTGCCGAAGCGTGGAAGTGTCTTCTGCCCAAAAGGCATGGTCTGAAGGTGGAACTAACTATGCCTGGCAGTCTTTAACCTCGGGATGCTATTGGGGTATCCCTGAGTCCTACTGATACTTCTTCTCTTTTCATGCTTTGAGGGTCAAGAAAACAAGAAAACTCTTACACCATCAACAGCATCCTCATGAAGATCCAGCCAAATTTGGTGCAAACAGAGCAGAACCTGACCCTGTAGTGCATCATAGATGCCAGCACCACCTTGTACATCAAGCCTCAGCACCTGGTGCTTTTTTAGAAGGATGGCACAACATTTTTACTTCTCCCTAGGCAACATAGAAGTATTTTTCATTTCTCAGGCTTGGGTCTATGACTCAGGGAAATAGAAGTACATTTTGGTTCAGAACAACAAGGAGAAAACCACGCCAGAGTACCAGGTGTTAGTGAAAGGAGTGGTCAGTTCCAGAGCAATGCAGGACAAGAAGGAGGTGATAGAAGGCAAAGTCTTGATGGTGAATTGTTCTATTCCAGAGGTAAAGTCCCAACATACTTCACAGCTGAAAAACTTGAACTAGAAACAAAAAGAGTCAAGCAAAAAAGAGAGAATACTTCTCAGAACCAGAATTTTGTGATGCTGGAATTCCCCAAATGAGAAGCAAGACCATGCTTTAATATTCCAATGTTAAGCTATGATCGTTTCTGGGATCTGGGTGGTGACCTTGGAATCCACCAGAAGTCACCTGGCCACCACGGGGGGTCAGAGTCCTGCTCTCCTTTTCACCATTTTTTTTTTTTTGGTGGTTTCCTTGTTTGGTATGAGGAGAAAGAGCCCAAAATTGGAAAGGGGCTGGGGCTTTCTGGATGGATTTCTGTTCTCAGGACTTAAGACCTGTTATTAATCACTTTAACAATTTATATCGGTATTTTTCAAATTATTTGACTGTGAAATATATATATATATATATATAAAATCTATATGTCCTAAACAAAAGTTTTATAAACAATACTTGCCTTTAATGCACATGATACATTTTGATATTTTCTACTCTATTGTAGTTTTTTAAAGCACTGGCCATGACAGTAAATTGATTCATTATGTAACCTGCAGTTTGGAAACCCAATGAGGGTCAGACACCAAGAAGCAGGGTCTGGAGGAGATTGTAAGGGAAGGCAGGCCAGGTCCTCAGCCTTTGCATTTGATGAGAAGCTCTCCACTTTTCTACCTCCACCAGCCCCCAACATCCAAGACATTGGACAAACAGGAAACTAATGAGGTGGCCTGAGAAATGCTCTCAGGAGAGAAAGAGGCTAAAACAGAGGAAAGCCTGAGTGAGTATCCAGGACAAACAGGTCCCCAGAAGCTCCCAGTGATCTATGGGGGTGGGCTAGGACTGGTGAAGCTGAAAAGTTAGGGGAAGGCACACCCTGCTATAGACAGCTGCAAATATTCCCAAAGTAGAAAACCTAATTTGTCATAAATGACCTTATTTTGACACCTCTCTTCACCCCGCCAATTGTTTATGTATATAAAAATACCTCCTATTTCAGTGATTATAATTCATGTTTTTGGTAAAATTTTCAGAAAATATGCTACAATATAAAGTACTAAGTGACAATCACTCATGGTACCACTATTGAGAGAAAACATATGGTCTGGACTTTTTTTTTACCTGTACATTCACACACACACACACACACACACACACACACACACACACACAGAGTTTTTGTTTCTCTTTGTTTTTACAAAAAATGGGGACATAGCAAACCTATTATTTTATAACTTTTAAAGACACTTAATATATTACAGACTTTTGTCTAGATCAAGAAATATGGTTGTACCTCATTTTAGCGGCAACTTGGAATTCTATTGTAGGGATGTGCCATAATTTATTTACCCCATTTTTAAAAATGGATATTTAAGTATTTCCCAGTTTTTTGCTATTAAAACAATCCTGCAATGCACATGTCTATATTTATATCTTGTGTACTTTTGCAAGTAATTTATTATTATTATTATTTATGGAGTTAATTCTTAGCACTAAAGTTGTTGATGCAAATATTTCATACATTTTCAATATTGATATATATTGCCAAATATCTCCTTCAAATAGTTGAATACTGCCATGAAAAGTGAGTTTATTTTCCAAATATTTCCCAATACATACTATTATCAATGCTTTATTATTTTTCCCAATCAAATTAAGGCACAATGATATATCATTAGTATTGTGATTTGTATTTTTTTTAGGTTTTAGTGAGGTTAAGTATGTTTCTTATGTTTATTGGTCTATGCTATTTTCCCCTATAAACTGCCTGTTCATAAATACTGCCCATTCTTACTATTTTGATTTATTTGTTTGAGCCCTTTGTGAATTAAAGAAAATAACTCTTTGTCAGAGATATGATGAAAAAAAAGAAAATATAAATGGGATATATGAATATCATGTAAATTACACTTTAAAGAGAGTTGGTTGAAAGCTCTAATGTATAACATGAAGACTATAGTTAATAATAATGCATTGTATTCAGGATCTTTGCTAAATAAGAAAATTATAGCTGCTCTTGCTATAGAAAGGAAAATGGGTAACTATGTGACCTAATAGATATGTTAATTTGTTTCTCTATAGTAAACATTTAACTATATATATATATATATGTGTATTTTATAAAATCAGGTTGTATATTTTAAATATTTACAATAACACTTATTTAAAAAGAAAACAAGATTTTTTTCAATCCATGAAAAAAAGATAAAGTAGTATTAGTAGACGAAGAGGGATATTTGATTAAAAAAAGAATCAGTATAACAGGAACAATGGTTCTATAAAACTGTTATAAAAGTCTGTGTACCCAGTAACAGAGCTCCACATTGCATGAAGCAAAAACTGTCAGAATTGAAAAGATAATAGACAATTTAACAATTATTAGCAAGTATAGTTACAAATTTCAAAACTCCTTTCTCAGTAATTAGAACAAATAGGTAAAAAATCAGTAATGATATAAAAAAATTTGCATAGTATCAGGGGAAACAGCCCCCAGTATTTTAACGTAGGTTCTTTTCTATTTTCCCTAAATGTCAGCCGGTCTGAGAAATAAAGAGAAAGAGTACAAAGAGAGAAAGTTTACAGCTGGGCCTCCGGGGGTGACATCGCATATTGGTAGGACCGTGATGACGACCTGGAGCTGCAAAACCAGCAAGTTTTTATTAGGGATTTTAAAAGGGGAGGGGGTGTATGAACAGGGAGTAGGTCACAAGGATCACATGCTTCAGAGGACAATTAAGATCACAAGGCAAAGGCAAAATTAGAATTACTGATGAGGGTCTATGTCCCACTGTGCAGGTATTGTCTTGATAAACATCTTAACAGGAAACAGTGTTCAAGAGCAGAGAACTGGTCTGACTAGAATTTACCAGGCTGGAGTTTCCCAATCCTGGTAAGCCTGAGGGTACTACAGGAGACCAGGGCGTATTTCAGTCCTTATCTCAACTGCATTAGACAGACATTCCCAGAGCAGTAATCTACAGACCTCCCCGCAGGAATGCATTCCTTCCCCAGGGTTATTCCTTGCTGGGAAAAGAATTCAGCGATATCTCTCCTACTCACACATCCACTTATAGGCTTTCCGCAAGAAGAAAAATATGGCTCTATTCTGCCTGACCCTGCAGGCAGTCAGACCTTATGGTTATCTTCCCTTCTTCCCCAAAATCACTGTTATTCTGTTCTTTTCAAAGTGCACTAATTTCATATTGTTCAAACACACATGTCTTAAAATCAGTTTGTACAATAGTGATCCTGAGGTGACATCCTGAGGTACATTCTCAGCTGATGAAGATAATGAGATTAAGAGATTAAAGTAAAGACAGACATAAGAAGTTATAAGAGTATTATTAGGGAAGTGATAAATGTCCATGAAATCTTCACAATTTATATTCAGAGATTGCAGTAAAGACAGGCATAAGAAATTATAAAAGTGTTAATTTTGGGAACTGATAAATGTCCATGAAATATTCACAATTTATTTTCTTTGCCTCGGCTGCAGCTGGTCCCTCCGTTCAGGGTCCCTGACTTCCTGCAACAGCATAGGCCAGGTGCGGTGGCTCACGCCTGTATTCCCAGCATTTTGGGAGGCCGAGGCAGGTGGATCACCTGAGGTCAAGAGTTCAAGACCAGCCTGGCCAACATGGTGAAACCCCATCTCTACTAAAAATACAAAAATTAGCTGAGTATGGTGGTGCATGCCTGTAATCCCAGCTACTCAGGAGCCTGAGGCAGGAGAATTCCTTGAACCCAGGAGGCAGAGGTTGCAGTGAGCCGAGATTGTGCCACTGCACTCCAGCCTAGGCGACAGAGTGAGACTCCATCGCAAAAAAAAAAAAAACAAAAAAAACAGAAAAAAAAGGTTTGAACAATATGAACCAACATAAAGAAACTGGCATTTATAAAATAGTTTATGCCTAAACAGAATAATATATATTCTTTTCACAAACACATGGAGCATTCACTAAGATATACCAAATGCAGGGTCATAAAACAAATGTCAACAAATACAAAAATATTTAAATCATATGATGTTTTCTCTATAATAGAATTAAATTATGAATTTATAACTGAAAACCATCTGGAAAATCACCCAAATATTTGGACAATAAAAAATACAGTTATAAATAACCCATGTTCAAAACAAAGTTACAAATTTTACTTCTGGGTGTATATCCAAAAAAATTGAAAAAAGTGACATAAAGAGATATTTTTATACTCACATTTATAGCAGCATTATTCACAATAGCTAAAAGGTAGTATTAATCCAAATGTCCATTGTTGGATAAATGGATAAACAACATGTGGTAAATATGTACAATGAAATATTATTCAGCCTTAAAATTAAGGAAATTTGGACACATGCTACAACATGGAAGAACTTTGAAAACATTATGCTAAGTGTAATAAACCAGACCAAAAAGGACAAATATTGTATGATTTCACTTATGTGAAGTACCTAGAATTGTCAAATTTGTAGAGATAGAAAGTAGAAAGGTAGTTTCCAGGGGTTCAGGAAAAGGAATCAGGAGTTATTGTTTAATGGGTAAAGTTTTAGTTTGGAAATATGACAAAGTTGTTCTAGAGATGGATGGTGGTGACTGCTGCACAACAGCATAAATGTACTTAGTGCTACTAAACTGTACACTTAAAAGGATTAAAATGGTAAATTTTATGTATTCTGTATCATCATATAAATTATTTAAAAACTAGAAAACATTTTAATAGCAAAAAATGAAAGAAAAGCATATTAGATTTTGTGGATTGTGGCTAATCAGTGTTCAGCAGCACTTTTATAGATTTAAATGCTTGTGTTTAAAAGGTGAAACATCTCAAATCAAGATCTAAGCTTGCACCATAGGAAGCTAGCAAAAACCAGCAAACTAATTAAGTAGAAGAAATGAATTAATAAAAATAAGAGCATAAATCCATAACAGGAAACTTTATGAAAAATTTTATGCCAATAAATTTGACACTTTAGATGAAATGGACAAATATCTTGAAAAACAACTCACCAAAATAGCCTCAAGAAGAAATAGAGCACTTAGATAACCCTATATCCATTAAAAACATTAAATTGGTAATTTAAAAATGTTCTGAGAAAGAAAACGATAGGACATGGTGGCTTCACTAGTGAAGTCTATCAAATATTTAATGAAGAAAGTGTAACAATCTTACAAAAACTGTTTCAGAAAATAGAAGAGGGTTCACTTCCCAACAGATTTTACGAGGCCAGTATTACACTGATACCAAAACCAGATTAAGATATTCCCAAAATTGAAAACTACAGACCAACAGCTCTCATGAATATAGATGAAAACATTCTTAATATTAGCAAATCAAATTCAACATTATATAAAAAGAATAGTTCATCACATACAAGAGGCTTTAATCTCAAGAATTGAAGATTTGCTTAATATTCAAATATCACTCAATGCAATTCATCATATTAATTGAATAAAGAAGAAAAATTCTTTGGCCATCTTGATAGCAGTAGAAAAAAATTCTTAAAAATTAACACTTATTCATGATAAAAATTTCAGGTAACTAGCATTTAAAAATACCTTCCCAGCTTGATAAAGGCTTCTATAAAAGATTCACAGTAAACATAATACTTAGTAAAAGACTAAATTTGTTATACCAAAAATATGGAATAATGAAGAATGTCTGCTTTCACCATTTCAATTCAGTATTGTTCTAGAGGTCTAAATCAGTCCAATAAGGGAAGAAAAATAATAAGATTGTACAAAAGGAGAAAAACTATCTCTATTTGCAGATGATATTGTCATATATGTAGAAAATCCTAAGGAATATATTTAAAAAGCTATTAGTGCCTTCACAAGGCATGAAGGCAATATACAAAAAAAGGACTGCATTTCTAAGAACAGTAATGAACAACTGGAAAATGGAATTAAAAATACAATTGCATTGACAATGGAACCTGAAATAAGTATAGCCCTTAGAAATAAATTTAACAAAGATATGTGAGACCTGTATAGTAATTATTACAAAACAGTGCTGAGATAAATTAAAGAAGACCTAAATAAGTGAAGAAAGATGCCATGTTTGCTGTCTGAAGTCTCCATATTGTTAACATGTCCATTATCCAATGAACATATAAATCCAATGCAATTCCCACAAAAATCCACATATGGAAATACAAGATATCTGGAATTGCCAAAATAATTGTGAGAAGGAAGAAAGTTGAAGGGCTTACAGTAACTGACCTGAATCTACAGTGAACAAAACAATGTGGTTTTGTTTAAAACAGTATTCCCCAACCTTTTTGACCCAAGGAACCAGTTTCAAGGTAGACAATTTTTCCACAGATGGGTTGGGATGGGGTGGGACTCAAGCATATTGCATTTATTGTGCACTTTATTTCTATTATTATTACATACTCACCATAATATAGAATCAGTGGGAGTCCTGAGCTTGTGTTCCTGCAACTAGTCGGTCCCATCTAGCAGTGATGGGAGACAGTGGCAGATCATCACGCATTAGATTCTCATAAAGAGCATGCAGTCTAGATCCCTCTCATGCACAGTTCACAATAGGGTCCATGATCCTATGAGAATCTAATGCCACCACCCATCTGACAGGAGGCAGAGCTCAGCTTCGCTCACTCTCCTGTCACTCACCTCCTACTGTGTGGCCTGGTTTCTAACAGGCCACAGACCAAAACTAGTCTGTAGGCCATGGGTTGGGGACCCCTGGTTTAAAAGATAGACAAAGAAATCAGAGGAATAGAATAGAATCCAGAGATAGATCCATACATGGTCAACTGATTTTCAACCAAGATGCCACATTAGTTCAATGGGAAAAGGAGTCTTTGTAACATACAGCCTTGGTACATTTGATACAATAGACAAAATAATTCCTCCACCCCCACCCCAAAGATGTCCAGATTCTAATTCTCAGAACCTGTGAATGTGTTTGGATACATGGCAAAGAGGAATTAAGTTTGCAAATCCAATTGTTAACTTTAAAATAGGAAGATAAACTGGGTTATCCAGGTGGGCCCACTGTAATCACAAGTGTTTTTGAGAGGAGAGAGGCAGAAAAGAACCAGAGAGATGGTAGAGGAGAATAACTGGTCCAATGTTGCAGGCTTTAAAGATGGAGAAAGAGGCCATGAGTTACAGAATATGAGTTGCCTCGGGAAGATAGAAAGGGCAAATATATGAATTCCTCCCTAGGTCTCCAGAAAGAGATGTAGCCTTGCTGACAACTTGGACTTCTAACTTATAGAATTGCACAATAATATATTTGTGTTGTTTTAAAACTGTAAGTTTGTGTTAATTTTCTATAGCTGCCATAGAAAAGTAATATAATTAAGTATCTCTCTGGGGTGAAATACAGAAGCATCTCAACCCTGATATTTATATAATTTACAAATTAAATGGAAATAAATTGTAAACCTAAATGTAAAACCTAAAACCATAAAACATCTGTATAAAACCAGGAAAAAAACCCATTGTGTTCTTGGTATAACCAAGGATTTCTTAAGTATGATACAAAAAGCATTAACCAGAAAAGAAAAAAAATTATAAATTGGACTTTATCAAAGTTAAAAACCATTTATTTTTGAAAGACTCTTAAGAAAAAGGTAATTGACAGATCAGTAAAAAATATTTGCAAAACCATATATCTGACTAAGAACTTGTATCCAGAATTTGTGAAAAACTTTTACAACTCAATAAGAAAACATGTAACAATTAAGAATGTGCAAAAATTTGAACAGACACTTCACTGAGGAAGATACATGATGGCAAATAAGCATATTGTATGTGTCCCATCCTGCTGGTCATCAGCAAAATGAAAATTAAATTCACAAACAAGCACTGGATATCCACTAAAATGGCTGAAATTGAAAAGACTCACTATACTAAGTGTTGGCAAGTATGTAAAGCCAATGGAAGTCTCATTCATTGCTGATAGAAATGAGAAAATGTTATAGCCACTTTGGAAGACAGATTGGCAGTTTTTTATAAAGTTAAACTTGTACTTGTTTTTATGACTCATCATGGGTTCCTTTCCTGGTTTATTATCTACCCAAGGAAAATGAACATGCATGGGATTAACTGCGGGGGATTAACTGCTCAACTGATACTGTCTACCTTAGATTTGTAATGCTGCAGTGAATATTCAAAGCGGCATTATTTGTAAAATCCAAAAATTAGAATAAGCCAAAGTTTTCATCAGCTGATGAATGGATAAGGAAAATGTGGTATATCCAAACAATAAAACACTATTAAACAGCAAAAAGGAGCAAACCACTTAAACATGCACCAACATAGATGACTCTCAATAGATACTTCATTGTTATACTGAGCAATAGAACATAAATCCAAAAGATTGTGTATTATATGTTTCCATTCATATGAAATTCTAGAAAAGGGAAAACTATAGTGACAGGAAGCATATTGGTGGTTGTCCAGGAGAGATGAGGGAATTTACTGCAAAGCGGCAAGAGAAAACTGAGATGAGAGAAACGTCTGTCTTATGTGGTGGTAGTTACAAGGCTGTATACTTTGGGCAAAACACATCAAGCTGTGCACTTAAAATAGAATTTGCATTTATTTTATGAAAATTATACTTTAATGAATATCTTAAACCATTAAAATATAATGTCCCTATAGCATTTGTCATGCTTATGCTAACAGTAATTAACATTAATAATGAATAACATTTACTGAGTTCCTACTAGTGGATTTGTACTTACTGAACTTACATTTTTAAATTATGAAACTCTGTGAATCTCAGTTGCTTTATGGCAGTATTGAAAATAAACAGGAAGGCCTGGCCTGATGGCTCATGCCTGTAATACCAACACTTTGGGAGGTTGAGGTGAGAGGATTGCTTGAGCCCAGGAGTTCAAGACCAGCCTGGGCAATATAGAGAATCCTCATCTCTACAATTTTTTTAAAAAAATCAGCAAGGGGTGGAGGCACATTCCTGTAGTCCCAGCTACACGGGAGGTTGAGGTGGGAGGATCGCTTGAGCCTAGGAGCTTCAGGCTGCAGTGAGCTATGATCATGCCACTGCACTCCAGCCTGAGCAAGAGTGAGAACCTGTCTCAAAAAGAAACAAAAGAAAAAGCAGAATTGGTTATTTGAAATACATCAACTAGTATGGCACAGGAACCAATTAACTGAAACGCACATTGGCCAGTTAGAAAGGTCTTGGTGTAAATAGCTGGTATAGGTGAATAGGTACACAATTTCACATCATTCCTAGAAATAATAACAATCATGTCTACCTCAATATTGCCATAGAATTAAATGAAAGGAGGCATGTGACATGCTTAGCACAGTGCTTGACACATAACTATCCCTGAATACAAGGAAGTTGTTACCCTGCATGAAATCTGAGCTTTCTCCATGGGAAAATCATGATAGTAGCAGTCAAATGTTGTTTCTACCTGTTCAACATAATCTTCCCCTTTCTTCACGTAAGAAAACATTTTATTTTTCCTTTGGGTAACTGCCGTGGTGTCCTATTAAGCAGTTAATCCCGTGGGGGCACTCAGGGAGAGCCCCTCAGGTTCTTTGATTTTGTTACTATAATTCATAACTAATTTTATATTCTGTCTCTTATATTCCTATATTAAATAATTAGGTGTCTAAATCTGATTGTTTGCTTGCTTTTGCTGACTCTCTCACCCATGGTGGTTTGTGGGCTCCTACTGGTTGACCTTAATGCATTGGAAACCTAGGGGGTTACACCGGGGATAATTTCCACCATGGGGGATTTGCTTTTGCATTTGCTAAGGGCCAGGGGATATTAGCCTGGGACAACTTTAAACCCTTCGGGGGCCACAGGCTAAATCTAGGAATCTCAGGTTCTGCTCATCTAATCATCTCTGATAGTCATGTTCTCCTGAAATCTAGACATAGACAATATTCAAGCGTATGCATACATAACCTCTGACAGTGTATCAGATGTCTCTTATACAGCACTTTATATAACCTCTTTGTGCCATCTCTCACTCTAGCCACTGATGCAATGATGGCCTCTTCCAAGTTTTGACCAGCTTTGTGCTGGTACAACCTTATGTGTTCTTTGACCTCTAGGCTGCAGTGATTAGGTAAGAAAGGGCCCTCAATCCAAGTCAGGCCAATTAGAATTTTATCTGAGATTTGGTAGCTCATCAATAAAGGTGCATATTTGAGGTTACTTGTTGCTATCTTCTGAGCCTTCTGGAAACATGAGCCTGAGAATGAAGCCCACATACTATCAGAAGAAATAAAAGCTAAGTGAGGCAGAGTGCTAGGGACATTGTTTATGCTTCTGAGTCAGATGAACTTGTGACCTTCTAGTTTTATGAGTGAATAAAATATCTCCTCCCACCCCTTTTACCTAAACTAGTTTGATTTGGGTTTCCACCATTTGTAACCAAAAGAATTCACTGTTTCAGACATTGCTTTCACCAAGAATCTTTCTTCATGCACACAATTGTATTTATCTCTTATGGCTTGTATTTTCTTATGCATTTGAAACATTAGTTCTCATGATTCATTAATAATAGTAAATTTTGAATATTGTGTGATAAACCGATTGAAAAGAAAATGTTCTTAGGCCATTGTATACAAGGCTATCTGATATTTCTGACATTTTGGCTCTTTGAGGCAGTTTGCATTTGAACTGGTGATAGGCAATGCATGTATCTTTGGTCAGTCCTTTGAAACAAATCATGACAACTTTTGGAGAGTTTTAAATATCTATTCAGACTTAGCCACAGCATGTTGATAGTTCTTTATCTGAAGGTAAAATAAAAACTTTTATGTTTCTTATTATTTTTAAAAATTTTATTTATTTTGGATTCAGGGGTACATGTGCAGTGTTACATGTATATATTGTTTAATGGTGAGGTTTGGACTTCTAGTGTACCCATCACCCCAAAAGTGACCATTGTACTCAATAGATAGTTCCAAATACAGCATAGCTGGCACTCATGATACTTACAACATTTCATTTGTGGATTATTTTAAAATTCGTATTCATGAACATCCTGATAATCCTCCCTCTCCCTCTAGAAAGCTTTGGCTTTTGAATCTTGGTTCCACTACTTCCTGGCAGTAAGACCCTGAGCAAGTTTCCAGATAACTCTGGGTAGGTTCCTTGTCTCAAAAATAAAGGTGATGATTGTACCTATTTTGCAAAAGGTTGTAAGGATTAAATGAATAAATGAAGTAATGTGTTCAAAAGGCTTAGAACAGTGTCTGAAACCTAGCTAATTCTAGAGAAGGCTTTGCTGTTGTTATTATTAAAATCCATTTTTCTTCTTGAAGCTGTGTTTTGATAGGCTGAGGAAGGGTTTGTAAGACATAGGTATAAAAATTTTTAACAGCCATTGTCATTAATGACTAGATTAAGAAATTAATTAAATGAAATAGATAAGAAATTTTACTTATATGTATAACAAAGTTATTCATTTCAAATGCATTTTCCATACCAAGTGTTTTGCCTAGAGTAGGGACTCAATATTGGTCAAATGAAATTGACTCCCAGTAGTTTACAATCAAAGCATACACAATAACTTTGTTTCCTTTATGACAGTGGCAAGTTCACATTGTCATAGGTGACTTGCTTAGCTAGTTGTAGTTATATCATCTGTGAGAAAAACCTTAACAACAATAACGATAAAAAAACATTTTAGCCATAAAATGAAAGCCTTTCTACAATGGATTGTGGCTTTCTCCACCATCTTAAGTTGCAGTTTGAACAGAATTTCATGTTCTGTATAAGATGCCTAGGGGTTATCCTTTTTACTGTTATCGAACCATGTGGGAAACAGAGGTATCTTGAGGTACCTTTGCTGATTCAAGAGGAGTATGCTTTTTGAATACTTGCATACAATGCTATGTTATTTTTCTATACTTTGCCTCAGTATTAGACAGCACTTCTTTCAGGAAGCGTGCCTTAAGAGCTTTCTTTCTATTTATAATTTATTTGTTAATAATATTCACAGGAAAATGAAATAGGTAACATTGTTAAAAGTATGTCTAAGATAAAAGTAAATAAGTCATTAGTGAGTACACTTTCCTAAGACTTAAATACCTTAGCTGGTGATGTTTACACATGTCGGTGCCTCAGGACTCTGTTTGGGGTCTTATTTAACCCAATCTCTCATCCCAGTTGAATTCCACATATGAATTTGCTTGAAAAAGTTCCCCATGTGAATGAATGATCATTATAAAGTGCTCTGGTAATTCCATGAGCTCAACTGGTGGTCTTTATTCAATGTTAGTTTTTCTAATGGGTGATTTAGGTAATATGACTTTTCTTTGGTTATGTAACATATTATTAGGAAAACATTAGGATTTAAGGGTAAAACTTCCTAAATAATATTCTCAATATACCACTTGCATAAGTAGTGGATTTTTCAATAGTATAAAAATTAAATTTTTGATCAGAATTGTCTAAGTGTTATGGTCTTTGCTAAATATCTGATAGATGCCTAAATTTGCATTTACATCTTGCTAAATGTGTAAAATAGTACATACATAGTGACTTAAAGCCAAGTCAGGATTTGGCATAAAAGCTTTACTAGGCCCTTCTGTAAGAGGTGATAAGAGACACTGAGAAAAAAAAAATTGAATACATCGCTTGTAGTCAACTATACACTCAGAAATTGAATCTCCCTTACAATGAAGTACAGTAAGTCATGATTTAAAATAACAAATTAGGAAGTTCAGTGTCACTAACAACATACAGACATGATACAGAGCTTCCTAATTTCTTTCTCAATATTTGGGTTCTAGGCAACAGCTGTGGGGGTTATAGTGGCATTTCCCTAAATGCTAGTATGATTTCAGAAGAGACTTCCACAATATGGAGAAGTCACAATTTTCATCATTAGTTTAAACTAAGGCACCTTATCTCACTTCCTCTAAGTCACATAATTCTCATTTTATGTTAATAGAAGTTAAACCTAATTATCAAGGGGAGAGTAGATTTCTAAGTTATAGTTTCTTCTTGAAGAGTTATGAGTGTAACCTCCATTAACACTAGGCCATGTTAAAAAGGCAACTCTTTGAATGTTGGGATAAAAATACATCCCTCTAGTGGAGGGTTATATTTTATCTGTAACTGAGTAATTTGGACTCAAGTGACCTACATTGAGAAATAGGTTTAATAGTGAAAAGACTGTGGATTGATGGATCCCTGCCAGGCAGGAACTGAAAGTTCAGAGCATTAGCAGTAGCTGACAGAATATAGGACATGATGTTATTCCCAAAATTATCAGGAAGAGAAAATATAATAGAGAGGAAAAAATAGTGTGAGACGATTTCTACTCCCACCTCCCCGGATGTTCAAGCTAATGTTTCCTTAGATGAAGTTTTTGCATCAGATTTCACTTTTCAAAAAGTTCAGCCTTTTACAGACTCTCTCCCAGTGAGAAATAAACCGAAAGCTTTTGTTTATTTTTGTAGTGATCACTGTGTCCTCACTATATAATTCTCTGAAGCCCACTTGTTGGTATTCTAAGAAAATTTGCTGCCTCATATGAGATAAAACTAGCATACATGGTAATCTTCCAATATAAAGTTAAGAATGTGTCCTAGTCATCTTGCAAGCTAAGTGTCTCTAATAGCATTGCTTCTCCATGGAAACACTACTTTTGGGAGTAGGCTATCTTGGTTCTCTTCCTCTCTCCCTCCCTCCTCCTCCCCTCAACCTGCCTTTTTCCCCCTCTCCTTCCTCCTTTTCTTCCTTTTCTTCTGCCTCCCCCCCTTCTTCCTCCCACGTTAGTTCCCGTAACATTGCTGAAAAAAAATCTGTCCCAGATTTTAAGCACTTTGAAATTCTTATGTTAGGAAATGTATCCTGAATTTAATCTGATTATTAAAAAAGAACTGCAGATTTAATTTCTTATAATAACTTGCTACTATGTTATTGACTTTATATCTTCAGGATGTAGCTAAAGTCATCTAAAGTAGGTGGTATAGATGAAAAGAATAAAAAAACCAAAACCAAAACCAAACCAAACCCAAGCCATGTCTCTTCAATACATAATACAGACTAGAAACTGTTTCAGAAATTTAGAAACTACATCACTGATTTGTTTTTCTGTACTAGATGCTAAAAGGAATTTAGATGTGCTTGTGGTGCATCATTCTATTTTTAAAGGTGATTTCATGATGGGCAATCGTCGAGCCACAAATGTTCCTCTGAAAGATGCAGAATCCTGAGTTGGATAAACTTGGCTTCTGAGTAAGTGTGGCCTTGTTCTTTGAACACAGTACTTGCATCTGTAAGATCCCTGCCTGCATGATCTAATTATTTCTGGGCTTGGGGTCTATAAACCAGACATTCTGACACTTGGTTGCTGCTTTTCTCAGCATTTGGTTTTCTTTTAAGGTTGTAAATTGATCCCCCACGTAAGACAGTCTTAGGCAATACATGACTTCTTATTAAATAATGACTAATATCATTAAGACAATAAAATATTTCCATAAACAAATAATTAAACCCTTATAAGACCTAGGTCCAAATTGAAGTCCCATTCTCTCAGCCCTTTCAGGTTTTGGGACTGATTTTTTATTTAAATCAGTGACGACTGCAGGCTTAAGCATGTACTATAGGTCCATTAAACGTTGCTTCAAAGAGAGAGGGAAAGAAATGGCCTCTAATGATCCCCAACTTTCTGGCAATCATACCCTGTCAGTGAAAGGAATAAAAAAGTACTGAAAAGTGAATAGAAAATGTGAAGCTTTTAACAGTCTTCTATTTACTGGAGGACTGGCCGTTACCGTCACTCAACCATTAACCCCCGTATGCCTTGGCCTGGGAACATCTCATTTCAAATCTCTCTGCTTTAAAATCTATACATACCGATAATGAGTTCCAAGACAAACTGTAAAGTGCAAAGCATCAAGGAGGGGAGCAGGTAAACATACATGCAAATACACATGCATGTACAATATATATACAAAACAAATGGAGCATCTCTGGAAGCATACGTAACACACTGGCAATGATGACACTGCCTTTAAAATGGAACAGCGAAAGAAGATAAACTTAATTTTTCGGTATTTTTTTTTGTTTTTTGAGTTGGAGTCTCGCTCTGTCCCCCAGTCTGGAATGCAGTGGTGCCATCTCGGCTCACTGCAACCTATGCTTCTTGGGTTCAAGTGATTCTTCTGCCTCAGCCTCCCGAGTAGCTGGGACTACAGGCACATACCACCATGCCCAGCTAATTTTTTTGTATTTTTAGTAGAGATGGGGTTTCACCATATTGGCCAGGCTGGTCTCAAACTCCTGACCTCATGATCCGCCCACCTTGGCCTCCCAAAGTGCTGGGATTACAGGCATGAGGCACCGCACCCAACCTATATGTTCCTTTTTACCTATTTAAATTTTAAAAAGATTAAAAGTACCTACTCCTGTGTAACTATTCATAATTCTAAGCTGGTATTTAAAGTTGATCTTCTCAATTAGGTATTTCCTAATTGTGCATCAAGTTTGAAAGAAGATGCATACTCTACTACGTTGGCCAGAATCTCTGATACACATGTTGGTTAAATAATTTATTTATAATGCAACAGATGGAAAATGACCAGACTATGCTGGTGATTAGGGTCTAAGTCTTTTTTATTGTAGGGTCATGGATACTCTGTTATGAAAGAGGTGAATCAATGGGACACATTTTTATATACCCAACCCCTGGGTTTGTGCACATATGTGTCTTTGTGGAATATTATGGAATGTCTGAACATATTACATAATGTGTAGGAATACTACAATGTGTCTGAACCACATGTTGCAATTAATGCTCTAGGGTTAAATAAAAATTTTGAATGGATTAGAAAATAGGCAGTCTCTATCAGATAGGTATGGTTGAGTAAAAATTCACTCAAAATATGTTGACTTAAAATAACAATTGTGTATTTGGCTTATGATTCTGCTGGGCAGTACTAGTGTGTCTTCCTTGTGTGTCTGTGGTCAGCTGTGAGTGACCACAGTAGAGCTGTAGGCTGGCTTTGGTGGCTTTGCTAATCAATGTGGGTCTGGCAGGTGTCTGGGACCTCAACTGGCATAAGTAGGCTGACTGGCCTCTGACCCACATTGTATCTCTTCCTCCGGCAGGCTAGCCCAAAGTTATGCTCATGACTGAGGCAGAGTCCCCAGAGACCAAGTGAGAGCCCACATGGCTTCTGGAGGCCTAAATCTGGAATAGGCACTCAGCCCCTTTTGCTGAGTTCAGTTGGCCAAGCATTCCATAGCCAGCAATCATCCAGTGGCCTAAGAAATACACCTCACCTCTTGATGGAGGGCCATCAAAGCCATATTGCCAGGGGAGTGGAAAGGGAACCACAGTGTCCACATGGTCTTGAGCTTTGGGAAAAGGATGCTGAGTGAGGTGGATACTACATATTTTTAAAATTTTTAAAAATTTTCCACACAGTTTGAAAAAGTGTAATTAATTTTAAACTTTGCTTTGGTACTGTGTCATAATTTTATATCTTTTATTTATTTTCACATTCTTCTACCACAATAATAATAGCTGTTACTTACTGAGCACTCACAACATGCTGGATACTATGCTGCCCAGGAGGTGTTTTAGATACATTTACATTTTGCCATTACAATGTAAGGTAGATATTCCGATTTTTCAGAAGAGTAAACTAAAAATTTTATGAATTCAATTATGAGCGCACTACATTGGGGTCAGGGATGGGGACTGAGCGAAAGCAAAAGGGAAAATAATTTAAATAATAAGGGCAGTCCAACCAGCCACTCTACCCAGTGAGTGTACGTCCTACAGGAACTCTGAGTTGGACTCCATGACTTTGCTGTTACCTCAGTTAATTACAGCTCCCACGTGCTTCTGAGGCTGGTGTGATTCTGATATTTTTGTTTCCTTTTATTAATATAATTGTAAATACCAGCTAGTTCCTTTATCTCATCTTCAATCAGAGAAAAAGTGATCAAATTAGTGTTAAAGCAAAAACCATCTATCTTGTACAGACTATGAGTTGTAGTTCAGTCTCTGGTGTACCACATCACTGGGGAATTTTCAAGGATAATTTTGACGCTATGTATTTTTCCTTTTAAGAGCTAAGGAAACTTCAGTAGGATACAAATTCAGTTAACTATGTTGTATTTTCTGGAAGGGGGATTTTAATGTTTGTGTAATAAAATGCCTTTCTAAAGTGGGGTATAAAATATTTATTTTGCAATCTTCAGGTGTACTAATCTGGTTAAACACATCAGAAAAATAAGTGACGTTACTATGACGGTGTCTACTGCAATGCCATTTTGTGGAAGAACTAGACTCCGCATTATGTTTTATGAATGAATCACTAGTTAATTAAAAAATGTTCTGCAGGGAAGATGATAGTTTTGTTATTAAGAATTCTTTGCTGTTGATTGTTATAAAGTTAATGTGGAAAACAGTATATAAATTGAAGTGAGCAAACAAAATTATCTTATCCGAAGCATTCTGCTTTTATTTTTTATGGTTTAAATTTTATTAAAATATAATTTACATGGAGAAATGTGCACATGAAAGTGGACCATTCAATATGTTTTCACAAACTGAATACAACTGTGTGACTAGCACTCACAAACAAGCATCTTAGAAGCCCACTCCTGCTCCCTTCCAGACACAAATCTCCCTACTCCCCAGAGTAACCACTATTTGGGCTTTTTAATTGTATAGATTAATTTTGCCTGTATTGTATTTCATAGAATAGAATCCTATATAGTATGTACTTCCTGTGTGTGTCTGAGGTCTTTCATTTAGCATTAAGTTTCAAAGATTGGTCCACCAGACTACATGTCATTGCAGATGGTTCATTTGCATTGCTGATGAGTGAATATACCACCATTCATCCACTAAACTGGGATGAGCATTTGGGTAGTTCCTAGTATGGGGCTGTATTGGGCCATTTTTGCATTGCTATAAACAGATACCTGAGACTGGGTAATTTATAAAGAAAAGAGTTTTAATTGACTTGTGGTTCTGCAGGCTTTACAAGAGGCATGGTGCTGGCATCTGCTTGGCTTCTAGGGAGGCCTCAGGAAGCTTACAATCATGGTGGAAGACAAAGGGGGAGCAGGCAATCTCACATAGCCGAGCAGGAGCAAGGGAAAGAGAGAGTGTATGTGTGGAGGGATGCCACACACTTTTAAATGACCATATCTCCTGTGAACTCAGAGCAGGAGCTCATTTATCACCAAGGGAATAGTCCAAGCCATTCATGAGGGATTCACCCTCATGATCCAAACACCTGCCACTATGCCTCACCTCCAACACTGGGGATTACATTTCATAAATACTTTAATACATCTTTTTATGAACACATATCATATTTCTGTTGTGAATTTATCTAAGAATGGACTTTTGGTTTATGGAGTGTGCATGTTTACATCTTTGGTGAGAAACATCACTTCTCAAAAGTGGTTGCCAATTCACTGCCATTAGAAGTATTTGAGAGCTCCTAGTACTTGGTATTTTTCTTCTTTTTTATCTTAACTAGTATGGTTTCCTCTTACCTAAAACATTGTAATTATTGAAGTTTCCTGTACTAAATATATATAATCTCAATGTTTCAGGTTAACAACTCTAAGAAGACAATTATTAAAAGACACCTCTGATGATTCCAGGGAAGATATTACTCTTAAAACTATCACAGTAAACTCACCTTCATGAAAATATGACACAGAATAATTGAAATTTAAGTTAAAAGTGATGGTAGCTGGTTTGTATGTATCTTTTGGTCTTCTTTATCTTTTAAAACCATTAGTAATGACTAATGTGTACTGTACACTCATTTAAAAAGACTCATTTAAAAAGACTCAATGCAAGACAATCTTTTTTTTTCCCTCATTTTGTCCAGTGACTTTAGTTTTCTTTCCTAACTATGACCAAGGTCTCAAGTTAGAAAACAGTATTTTCAAAGCAGTCTTGTGCATTACAATCCTGTGACACAATTCTATGCAGAAGAAATGCCTGTGGTTTTATTATCTTAGCATATGCCTCAAAGAAGATGCCCATCTGTACATGCAAGTTTCCCTTTTGCATCTGAAAAGATAAAATGTCTCTCAAAATAGTAACTCTCTCAAGGGCATGTAATTTTTGGAGAATTGAAGGTTTCATCAGTATTTTGTTTGGGAGCTATGACTTATAAAGTCAGTAATAGAATTCTTGTGAATTGCTTAACTAAATTAGGAATCTAAAAGTTAAAATTACAGAAACTATAGGAAGGCTCTCCTCAAAGTCAATAGTGGTATGACTTTAAAGTTACCGTTTCTCAGTTGTAAGTATTGTGTTGCAATACAAAAGGCTTTATCAATCAAGGATATAGTCATTTTCAGATAATATCAACTGTTTTGACTTTATTGTGTGAGTTACTTTAACATTAATGCACAGATTAACTACTACTTGTTTCAGTTATTCGTTTAAAATAAGTCTTATGAAAAGAGACTTTATATGCAGGTCATGACCATTCTGAGGTGTATTTTTTATTTATTTATTTATTTATTTAGAGATGAAGTCTTGCTCTGTCACCAGGCTGGAGTGCAGTGGTGTGATCTCGGCTCAATGCAACCTCCGCCTCCCAGGTTCAAGTGATTCCCCTGCCTCAGTGTCCTGTGTAGCTGGGACTACAGGAGTGTGCCACCACACCCAACTATTTTTTTTATTGTATTTTAGTAGAGACAGGGTTTCACCATGTTGGCCAGAATGGTCTCAATCTCCTGACCTCGTGATCCACCCACCTTGGCCTCTCAAAATGCTGGGATTACAGGCATGAGCCACTGTGCCTGGCTGTGTAATCTTATGGGTGAATAGCGACTGATATGAACAGAATATCTTTGAAATTTGTAAGCCAAACTTGCAACTTTGAGGGAGATAAAGAAACAATTTACCAAACAATATGGAAAACACTGAAATCCCCAAAGAAAGGGAAAATTAAATGTGGCTTTTACTAGGAATTTACCATATTAACATCCTACCTGGCACATGATAAGTGCCCAATGAATGATAACCAAAAGAAAAAAACCATAATGTTAAGTGTGGTTACTGGCTCTATTTTACAAATAAAGATGTTGAAACTCAAAGGGATTAGAATAAGTAATTTGTTCAAATCATACAGCTGATATGTTTGAGAGGTAGGATTCGAGAGACAGGATTCAAACTTATTAAACAAGACTTGTCAAGTGCTTCCAAGATGGCCAAACAGGAACAGCTCCAGTCTGCAGCTCCCAGCGAGATTGACACAGAAGATGGGTGATTTCTGCATTTCCAACTGAGATACCTCGTTCATCTCACTGGGACTGGTTGGACAGTGGGTGCAGCCCACGGAGGGTGAGCTGAAGGAGAGCGGCGTGTCACCTCACCTGGGAAGTGCAAGGGGTCAGGGGATTTCCCTTTTCTAGCCAAGGGAAGGTGTGACAGACTGTATCTGGAGAAACAATACTCTCCTGACCAAATATTGTGTTTTTCCCACAGTCTTAGCAACGAGCAGACCAGGAGATACTCTCCCTTGCCTGGCTCGGTGGCTCCCGCGCCCACAGAGCCTTGTTTGCTGCTAGCACAGCAGTCTGAGATCAACCTGTGATTCTGCAGCTTCACAGGGGGAGGGGCGTCCACCATTGCTGAGGCTTGAGTAGCTCACAGTATAAACAAAGAGGCCAGGAAGCATGAAATGGGTGGAGCCCACCACAACTCAGCAAGTCCTGCTGCCTCTATAGATTCCACCTCTGGGGGCAGGGCATAGTAGAACAAAAGGCAGCAGACAACTTCTGCAGACTTAAACATCCCGGTCTGACAGCTCTGAAGAGAGCAGTGATTCTCTCAGCATGGTGTTCGAGCTCTGAGAACGGACAGACTACCTCCTCAAGCTGGTCCCTCACCCCCATGTAGCCTGACTAGGAAACACCTCCCAGTAGGGGCTGACAGACACCTCAAACAGGCGGGTGCTCCTCTGGAATGAAGCTTCCAGGGCAATGTTCAGGCAGCAATATTTGCTGTTCTGCAGCCTCTGCTGGTGACTACAACAGACCTGTAGCTGATGGGTCTGACTGTTAGAAGAAAAATTAACAAACTGAAAAGAATAGCATCAACATCAACAAAAAGGACATCCACACCAAAACCCCATCTGTAGGTCACCAATATCAATGACCAAAGGTAGATAAAACCACAAAGATGGGGAGAAACCAGAGCAGAAAAGCTGAAAATTTCAAAAAACAGAGTGCCTCTTCTCCTCCAAAGGATCGCAGCTCCTTGCCAGCAAAGGAACAAAACTGGACAGAGAATGAGTTAGATGAGTTGACAGAAGTAGACTTCAGAAGGTCAGTAATAACAAACTTCTCTGAGCTAAAGGAGCATGTTCTAACCCATCGCAAGGAAGCTAAAAAGCTTGAAAAAAGTTTAGACAAATGGCTAACTAGAAAAAACAGTGTAGAGAAGACCTTACATGAACTGATGGAGGTGAAAAACATGGCACAAGAATTTCATGACACATGCACAAGCTTCAATAGCCAATTCGATCAAGTGGAAGAAAGGATATCAGTGATTGAAGATCAAATTAATGAAATAAAGTGAGAATACAAGATTAAAGAAAAAAAAGTGAAAAGAAATGAACAAAGCTTCCAAGAAATATGGGACTATGTGAAAAGACCAAATATACATTTGATTGGTGTACCAGAAAGTGACGGGGAGAATGGAATCAAGTTAGAAAACACTCTTCAGGATATTATCCAGGAGAACTTCCCTAACCTAGCAAAGCAGGCCAACATTCAAATTCAGGAAATACAGAGAACAACACAAAGATACTCCTCGAGAAGAGCAACCCCAAGACACGTAATTGTCAGATTCACCAAGATTGAAATAAAGGAAAAATTGCTAAGGGTAGCCAGTGAGAAAGCTCGGGTTACCCACAAAGGGAAGCCTATCAGACTAACAGCAGATCTCTCGGCAGATACCCTACAAGCTAGAAGAGAGTGGGGGCCAATATTCACCATTCTTAAAGAAAAGAACTTTCAACCCAGAATCCCATATCCAGCCAAACTAAGCTTCACAACTGAAGGGGACATAAAATCCTTTACAGACAAGCGAATGCTGAGCTATTTTGTCACCACCAGGCCTGCCTTACAAGAACTCCTGAAGGAAGCACTAAACATGGAAAGGAACAACCGGTACCAGCCACTGCAAAACCATGCCAAATGGTAAAGACCATCGAAACTATGAAGAAACCGCATCAATTAACAAGCAAAATAACCAGCTAACATCATAATGACAGGATGAAATTAAAACATAACAATATTACCCTTAAATGTAAGTGGACTAAATGCCCCAATTAAAAGACACAGACTGGCAAATTGCATAAAGAGTCAAGAACAATTGGTGTGCTGTATTCAGGAGACCCATCGCACGTGCAAAGATGCACATAGGCTCAAAATAAAGGGATGGAAGGAGATCTACCAAGCAAATGGAAAGCAAAAAAAAAAAAAAAAAAAAAAAAAATAGCAGGGGTTGCAATCTTATTCTCTGATAAAACAGACTTTAAACCAACAAAGATCAAAAGAAACAAAGAAGGCCCTCCATAATGGTAAAGAGATCAATTCACCCAGAAGAGCTAACTATCCTAAATATATATGCACCCAATGCAAGAGCACCCAGATTCATAAAGGAAGTCCTTAGGGACGTACGAAGAGACTTAGACTCCCACACAATAATAATGGGAGACTTTAACACCCCATTGTCAATATTACACAGATCAATGAGACAGAAGGTTAACAAGGATATCCAGGACTTGAACTCATCTCTGGACCAAGCAGACCTAATAGACATCTACAGAATTCTACACCCCAAATCAACAGAATATACATTCTTCTCAGCACCACATTGCACTTATTCTAAAATTGACCGCATAATTGGTAGTAAAACACTTCTCAGCAAATGTAAAAGAACAGAAATCACAGCAAACTGTGTCTCCAGCCACAGTGCCATCAAATTAGAACTCAGGATTAAGAAACTCACTCAAAACCACACAACTACATGGAAACTGAACAACCTGCTCCTGAATGACTACTGGGTAAATAATGAAATGAAGGGAGAAATAAAGATGTTCTTTGAATCCAGTGAGAACCAAGATACAACATACCAGAATCTCTGGGACACATTTAAAGCACTGTGTAGAGAGAAATTTATAGCACTAAATGCCCGCAAGAGACAGCAGGGAAGATCTAACATCGACACCGTAACATCACAATTAAAAGAACTGGAGAAGCAAGAGCAAACAAATTCAAAAGGTAGCAGAAGGCAAGAAATAACTAAGATCAGAGCAGAACTGAAGGAGATAGAGACACAAAAAACCCTTCAAAAAATCAATGAACCCAAGAGCTGGTGTTTTGAAAAGACCAACAAAATAGATAGACAGCTAGCAAGACTAGTAAAAAATAAAGGAGAGAAGAATCAAATAGGCACAACAAAAATGATGAAGGGGATATCACCACCAATCCCACAGAAATACAAACTACCATCAGAGAATACTATAAACATCTCTATGCAAATAAACTTGAAAATCTAGAAGAAATGGATAAATTCCTGGACACATACACCCTCCTAAGACTAAACCAGGAAGAAGTTGAATCTCTGAATAGACCAATAATAGGTTCTGAAATTAAGGCAATAATTAATAAATAGCCTACCAACCAAAAAAGGTTCAGGACCAGACAGATTCACAGCCGAATTCTACCAGAGGTACAAAGAGGAACTGGTACCGTTCCTTCTAAAAGTATTTCAATCAATAGAAAAAGAGAGAATCCTCCCTAACTCATTTTATAGGGCTAGTATCATCCTGACACCAAAGCCTGGTAGAGACACAACAATAAAAGAGAATTTTAGGCCAATATCCCTGATGAACATCAACGTGAAAATCCTTGATAAAATATTGGCAAACCAAATCCAGCAGGACATCAAAAAGCTTATCCACCACGATCAAGACAGCTTCATCCCTGGGATGCAAAGCTGGTTCAACATATGCAAATCAATACACGTAATCCATCACATACACAGAACCAATGACAAAAACCACATGATTATCTCAATAGATGCAGAAAAGGCCTTTGATAAAATTCAACATCCCTTCATGCTAAAAACTCTCAATAAATAGGTATTGTTGGAAATGTATCTCAAAATAATAAGAGCTATTTATGACAAACCCACAGCCAATAACATACTGAATGGGCAAAAACTGGAAGCATTCCCTTTGAAAACCAGCACAAGACAGGGATGCCCTCTCTCACCACTCCTATTCAACATAGTATTGGATGTTCTGGCTAGGGCAATCAGGCAAGAGAAAGAAATAAAGCGTATTCCATTAGGAAAGGAGGAAGTCAAATTGTCTCTGTTTGCAGATGACATAATTGTATATTTAGAAAACCCCATGGTCTCAGCCCAAAATCTCCTTAAGTTGATAAGCAACTTCAGCAGAGTCTCAGGATACAAAATCAATCTGCAAAAATCACAAGCATTCCTATACAACAAGAACACACAAACAGAGAGCCAAATCTTGAGTGAACTCACATTCACAATTACTACAAAGAGAATAAAATTCCTAGGAATCCAACTTACAAGGGATGTGAAGGACCTCTTCAAGGAGAACTAAAAACCACTGCTCAACGAAATAAAAGAGGACACAAACAAATGGAAGAACATTTAATGCTCATGGATAGGAAGAATCAATATCATGAAAATGGCCATACTGCCCAAGGTAATTTACAGATTCAATGCCATCCCCATCAAGCTACCAATGACTTTCTTCACAGAATTGGAAAAAGCTATTTTAAAGTTCCTATGGAACCAAAAATAACCTGCATAGCCAAGATAATCCTAAGCTAAAAGAACAAAGCTGGAGGCATCACGATACCTGACTTCAAACTATACTACAGTGCTGCAGCAACCAAATCAGCATGGTACTGGTACCAAAATAGAGAGAGAGACCAAGGGAACAGAACAGAGGCCTCAGAAACAATACCACACATCTACAACTATCAGATCTTTGACAAACCTGACAAAAACAAGGAATGGGGAAAGGATTTCCTATTTAATAAATGGTGCTGGGAAAACTGGCTAGCCATATGTAGAAAGCTGAAACTGGATCCCTTCCTTACATTGTATACAAAAATTAACCAAGATGGATTAAAGACTTAAAGGTAAGACCTAACACCATAAAAACCCTAGAAGAAAACCTAGGCAATACCATTCAGGACATAGGCATGTGCAAAGACTTCATGACTAAAACACCAAAAGCAATGGCAACAAAAGCCAAAATGGAAAAATGGGATCTAATTAAATTAAAGAGCTTCTGCATAGCAAAGAAACTATCATCAGAGTGTACAGGAAACCTACAGAATGGGAGGAAATCTTTGCATTCTGCCTATCTGAGAAAGGGCTAATATCCAGAATCCAAAGAGAACTTAAACAAATTTACAAGAATAAAACAAACCACTCCATCAAAAAGTGGTCAAAGGATATGAACAGACAATTCTCAAAAGAAGACATTTATGCAGCCAACAGACATATGAAAAAATTCTCATCATCACTGGTCATCAGAGAAATGCAAATCAAAATCACAATGAGATACAATTTCATGCCAGTTAGAATGGCGATCATTAAAAAGTAAGGAAACAACAGATGCTAGAGAGGATGTGGAGAAATAGAAACGCTTTTACACTGTTCGTGGGAGTGTAAATTAGTTCAACGATTGTGGAAGACAGTGTGGTGATTCCTCAAGGATCTAGAACTAGAAATACCATTTGACCCAGCAATCCCATTACTGGGTATATACCCAAATTATTATGAATCACGTTACTATAAAGACACATGCACACATATGTTTATTGTGGTACTATTCACAATAGCAGAGACTTAGAATCAACCCAAATGTCCATCATTGATAGAATGGCTTAAGAAAATGTGACACATATACACCATGGAATACTATGCAGCCATAAAAAGGATGAGTTCATGTCTTTTGCCAGGGACATGGGTGAAGCTGGAAACCATCATTCTAAACCAATGATCACAAGGACAGAAAACCAAACACCACATGTTCTCACTCATAGGTGGAAGTTGAACTACGAGAACACATGGCCAGGGTGGGGAGCATCACACACCGAGGCCTGTTGGGGGTTGTGGGACTGGGGGCAGGATAGCATTAGGAGGAATACCTAATGTAAATGACAAGTTGATGGGTGCAGCAAACCAATACGGCTTATGTATACTTATGTAACAAACCTGCACATTGCGCACATGTACCCTAGAACTTAAAGTATAATATAAAAAACACCAAGACTTGTCACCTTTCATCTATCTAAATGATGAAGATGAAAAACATAATATAGTAAGTATTTGTTTTGTATGGTAGTGACATGCACAAATTTCATTCACCACCAGTTAATTCACTAGCAAGCAGCCCTCCAAAAACACAGTTCAAATTTCAGTTACCACAGAATATTAACTGTAATTGTATGAATTCCAATCTTCTCTTACTAGTTCTTCAATCCACAAATAACTACATAAATAACAGATGAACATCATAACCAGAGACCCATGATGTCATTTCTTTCAAAGCCCATTGGCAATTGGTCACTGTGCACCGGTTATTTATATTATGCACAGACAGCAATGCATGTAGTTGTGTTGCCTCTTGTCTGCCAGTGATAGAACTACATGAAGTTTTATAGAAATGGATAATTGAATTAAGGAATTGGCCAATAAATATGAAAATGGAGGAAGGAAACCAAAAACGATAATACTGGAACTGAAATTAAAACTGAATGTGGGTGAAATCAGAGAAGAAAGAGCTGACTGTGGGAACATTGACACTACCATCATTTGAGAGATTCTACATGTGTAGCCAGAGGAACTTAGTGAAGGTGAACTTGTCAATATAAATGAGAAAAGTGATTCATGTGAAAGTATGAAGATGTCCCAGAGAAAGTGACATTAGAAAAAAGTTTTCACATTCAAGAAACTCCTGGTGATATTTCATGACATTGAAATCCCAAAGGATAAAATGTTGGAAGCCGATTGAGACTTAGAAGGGAGTATGACAATTTGCCAAGGTATAGAAAAGATTTGGCTTGAGTATAGAAGTTCTATGATGAGAAGAGGAAGGCAAACACTGGTTAAACTACTCTTGATAAGTTTGTTTGGTTTTAGAGTTGAGGTCTTGCTCTGTTGTTCAGGCTGGAGTACAGTGGCACAATCATAGCTCATTGAAGCCTCAAACTCCTGGGCTCAAGAGATCCTCCCATGTCAGCCACCCAAGTAGCTGGGACTACAGGTGTGTGCCACTGCACTTGGATAATTTTTTATGTATTTTTATTTTTATTTTTTTTAGAGATGGGGTCTCCATGTGTTGCCCAGGATGGTTTTGAACTCCTGGGTTCAAGCAGTCCTCCTGCCTCAGCCTCCCAAGTAGTTGGTATTACAGGCACAAGCCACTGTGCCCAACTTTTTGTTTTCTTTTTAACAAAGAAATAAAATACCTTGTCTTATCTCAGACTTTCATAACAAAATACAATTGACTGGGTGATTTAAACAACAGGAAGTTGTTTCTCACAGTTCTGGAGGCTGGGAAGTTTAAAATCAAAGGGCTGGCTAAGTAGATTTTATTCCAAGGCTTCTTCTCTCAGTTTATAGGCAGCTATTATCTCACTGTGTCACATGACCTCTTCTTTATGCAAGTGAGGGAAGAGAGAGATCTCTTTCTCTTCGTCTTCTTGTAAGGTCACCCATCACATAAGATAAGATTCACTCTCAGGACCTCATCTGACTTTAATTATCTCCTAAAAGCCCTATTTTCAAATAGAGTCACTTTGGGGATTAAAGTTTCAACATATGAATTTGAGGAAGGGACACAATTAAGTTCATAGCACACCTTACTTTTCAGTGTTTCTAATGTTTAGTGTTCTACTAAATATATGCATTTTACTGTCTTTTAAATTTCTCTATATATTTATAGCTGAGAGTGAGTTTTAATGATTTAACAAAAAGTTTAAAAGGTCAGAGAATAATTGCCATTTTTCTATTGGTTATTAAGATCCCTTTGTACAGTTTCAGTTTGTGTGGTCATTTTTACACTCTCAGATTGCCTAGCGAAGGAGAGACCACTTGGGCTGAGTGCTGGTGACTTTGCAGTGAGGTGAGCATTCTCAAACATGGCTAACAGGAGTAGAAATTAATAAATGAAACTCTTCATTTAGGACAAGTTGACTGAATGTAACAGGGAACGGAAAAAATTACCATTTCTGGCCTTGTAATTTTACTACTTGGATTATGTCACCTGTAAATAGAGACACAGTCAGATATTTATATACCAGTATGTTTATTTTTAGCATCAAAGATTGCTACATTAGCTGAAGAGGTAATGTGGCTTCGGACACAAACAAATAGAAGGCAGACATAAGGACATTTTCTCAAATACAAAACGAAGATTATGAATTCAGAACAAGTTCAAATTGTTCCCAGTATGTTTGTGTGTGTGTGTGTGTATATATATATATATATATATATATATATATTTTTTTTTTTTTTTTTTTTTTTTTTGAGACAGAGTTTTTCTCTTGTCACTGTGATGGAGTGCAATGGTGCGATCTTGGCTCACTGCAACCTCCGCCTCTCTAGTTCAAGCGATTCTCCTGCCTCAGACTTTCGAGTAGCTAGGAGTACAGTCACCTGCCACCATGCCCAGCTAATTTTTGTATTTTTAGTAAAGACAGGGTTTCACCATGTTGGCCAGGCTGGTCTCGAACTCCTGACCTCGGTGATCCACCTGCCTCAGCCTCCCAAAGTGCTGGGATCCCTGGTGTGAGCCACCGTTCTGTGAGTTATATGTATTTTTAAACAATGAACACAGTTTCTGGGATCTGACTCTTAGGACTGCCTAGCAGGTTTCTTGACCGTGTACAAATCAGATTGTCTTATTCTCCTTCCCGTAACTATCAAAAGGCTTCTTGATTCCATCAAAATGAATCCCAGATTCTCTACAGTGGCTGATAGGGTCTTCTGGGAGCAGACCTTGACCAAACATTTAACTTCCTTTCCTACTGCATTGATTTTCTTTCTGTTTCTTTTCACCTCAGAGGTTTGCCACCAGTTGTTTCTGTATTTAGAAGACAGCACCCACATTCTCATGGGGTTGACTCCTTTTATACCTTGGGGTCTCAGCTCAACTCTCCTCTCTTCCTAAAAGGCTCTCAGCTTCTTCTCCTCAACTCCAATCACTCTATCATTTGACTCTGTTTTATTTTCTTCCTAATCTTGTTCTGTTTTAGGAAGAGTTGACCAGGAATCAGAGTATGAAACAAAGTTCTGAGTGCAGGAAGCTTACTGGAGAAATGATCCAGGGAGCAGGAGAAATAGATAAGCTTGATGAACAAGGAAATAAAGAAAGTCAATATAAGGATGAGTTATAGGATTGGCTGCTGTTAAGGGACACTGTGGTGCTAGACCCTTTGAAATGCATTTCTGAGCTATTCATCTTGAGGATAGAGACACATTTATCTTTATGTTTCCAGCCCCCAGGGGTCAGAAGTAGCCCCATGGCATTAGCTACCTCACATTTCCAAGAATTAAGCAACTTCTTGTAGGCACCCTGTGCCATAGTGTCTTAGATAAATTTGGGTCAGGAAGCAAGAGGTACATGAAGTGGGGCAAAATTTCACCTTCAAGGAACTCTTGGGTATATTCTATGACACAGAAAATGAAAAGCATGAAATGTTGGAACTTGATCTAACTTCAAAAAGGTATGAGTCACTGTAAGGTTGCACCAGTATGAAGCTCATCAAAACTTGGGAGAGGCCATTATGGTATCAGTGGTTAGAGTGAGAGATGGTACAAAGAAGTTATTTAAAGTGCTGTAGAAGAGGCATCCGATACATCATCAGAAATTATGTTTGCATACAGTTGAGTATTGTTCATCTCTAAATTTCAGGAGAACATGACTATCAAGGATGACTATATGAGCAGAACCTTATATTCCTCGATTTAGCCTGTGCCCTTGAAGGATCTAAAGTTATTACTGGCTAATAGCATCTTCTGGCTCTTAGCAATTCCAGAAGTAAATCCCACATAATGAAATGTAACCCCAGTATAACCGCCTAGGGTTTCAATTCACTGAGGTCAACCAATAGGAGTCCAAAAACCACAATGGGTGAGACTCAGCAAAAGCAAGCAAACAATCAGATTTAGACACCTAATTATTTAACATGGGAATATCAGAAACAAAATACAAAATTACCTTATGAAATATTTAAAGAAATAAAAGATGAAATAAAAATGAGCAAGCAATAAGGAAGCTATTTAAAATAATCAGATATTTACCAAGTAAAAGTCTATTTTTGCATCCAGTATGGCCAACTCTTTGATGTTAGAACTGTGCTAGAAAAGGCAAATACATGGTTCATGTATGTGAATCCATACAGAAAAAAATTAATTAATTAAAAAATATTAGGCTGAACAGACCAATAACAAGTAGCAAGATCAAAGTCCTAATAAAAAGTCTACCAGTAATGAAAAGCCCAGGACCCAATGTCTTCACTGCTAAATTCTACCAAACATTTAAAGAACTAATACCAATCCTACTCAAACTATTCCAAAAAAGTGGAGGAGGAGAGAATACTTCCAAACTCATTCTACAAGGCCATTACTACTCCAATACCAAAACCAGACAAAGACACATCAAAGAAACAAACAAACAAACACTACAGGCCAACATCCCTGATGAATATTAATGCAAAAAACCTCAACAAAATAATAGAAAATTCAATTCAAGAACACATTAAAAAGGTCATTCATCATGACCAAGTGGGATTTATGCCACGGATGCAAGAATGATTCAATATATGCAAATCAATCAGTGTGATACATCATACTAACAAAATGAAGGGCAAAGACCATGTGATCATTTCAGTTGATGCTGAAAATTTTTTTAAAAAATTCAACATCCTGGCATGATAAAAACTATAAAAATACTGTTTATAGAAGGAATATACCTCAGCATAATAAAAGCTGTATTGACAGACTCATAGCTAGTATCATACTGAATGGGGAAAGACCGAAACCTTTTCTGTAAAATGGGGAACACAACAAGCATGTCTAGTTTCACCAATATTATTCAATACACTACTGGAAATCCTAGCTAGAGCAAACAGACAAGAGAAAGATATAAAGGGCTTTCAAAACCCATTTATGCCTAGTGTTCCATTATTGGAACACTAAACATGTGGGAGTTATTTTTATCCTACTGCTCAAGGTCATCACCAAAGTCCGATTTTTCAAATTCAAAAAATTGCAACCTCAAGCATAAATGGGTTAAAATGGAAGACTTCTACTTATCCTTGTTTGCAGGTTATGATCTTACATTTGGAAAAACCCTAAAGACTCCATCAAAAAACTGTTAGAACTGATAAACAAATTCAGTAAATTTGTAGCACACAAAATCAACATAAAAAATTAGTAGCATATCTATATGCTAATAGTGAACAATCAGAAAAAGAAATCAAGAAAGTAATCCCATTTACAATAGCTACAAGTACAAGTAAATACTTAGGAATTAATTTAACCAAGAAAGATCTCTACAATGAAAACTGTAAAACATTGATGTCAGAAATTAAAGACACAAGAAATGAAAAGTATTCCATGTTCATGGACTGGAAGAATCAATATTGTTAAAATGTCTATACTACTCAAAGTGATGTACAGACTTAGTGCAAAGACCCAGAATAGCCAAAGCTATCCTAAGTTTTGGCTACAATGAATAAAACTGGAAGAATTACATTACGTGATTTCAAATCATAGTACGGATCTATAGTAACCAAAGCATCATTGTACTGACATAGAAACACACACATAGACCAATGTAAAAGAATACAGAACCCATAAATAAATCCATACAGTGTACTCATTTTTTACAAAGGTGCCAAGAACATACCTTGGGGGAAAGAATAATTTCTACAACAAATGGTGCTGAAAAACTGGATATCCAGATTCAGAAGAATAAAACTAGACTACTATCTCTCACCATACACAAAAGTAAAATAAAAATGAATTAAAGACTTAAATCTAAGACCTCACTATGAAACTACTACACAAACAGTGGGGACATTGGACTGGGCAAAGACTTCTTGAGAAATGCCCTATAAGAAAAGGCAACCAAAGCAAAAATGGACATATGGGATTACATCAAGTTAAAAAGCTTCTGAACAGCAAAGGATGCAATCAACAAAGTGAAGATCAACCAACAGAATCAGAGAAAATATTTGCAAACTACCTATTTGACCAGAGACTAATAACCAGAATATATAAGGAGCTCAAACAACTCTATAGGAAAAACAATTAATGTTCTGATTTAAAAATGGGCAAATAATCTGACTAGACATTTCTCAAAAGAAGACATACAAATGACAAACAGGCATATGAAAAGGTGCTCAACATCATTGATCATAAGGAAATGCAAATTAAAACTACGATGGGATATTATCTCACCCCAGTTAAAATGGCTTATATCCAAAAGACAGAAAATAACAAATGCTGGTGAAGATGTGGAGAAAAGGCAGCCCTTGTACACTGTTGGAAGGAATGTAAATTAGTGCAACATCTATGGAGGACAGCTTGGAGGTTCCTCAAAAAACTAAAAAATACAGCAACTATATGATCTAGCAATCCCACTGCTAGGTGTACACCCAAAAGAAAGGAAATCATTATATTGAAAAGACACCTTTACTTTCATTTGTTTTTGCAGTATTATTCACAATAACCAAGATTTGGAAACAACCTAAGTGCCAATCAACAGACAAATGGATAAAGACAATGTGGTGCATATCAGTAATGGAGTACTATTCAGTCATAAAAAACAATACGATAGCTAAGACAATTCTAAGCAAAAAGAACAAAGCTGCAGGCATCACTCAACCTGATTTCAAACTATACTACTAGGCTACAGTAACCAAAACAGCATGGTACTGGTACCAGAACAGGCATATAGACCAATGGAACAGAACAGAGACCTCAGAAACAGCATCACATATCTACAACTATCTGATCTTCAACAAGCCTGACAAAAACAAGGAATGGGGAAAGGATTCCCTATTTAATAAGTGGTGCTGGGAAAATGAGGTAGCCATACACAGAAAACTGAAAGTAGACCCCTTTCTTACATCTTATATAAAAATTAACACAAGATATATTAAAGACTTAAATGTAAAACCCAAAACCATAAAAACCCTAGAAGAAAACCTAGACAATACCATTCAGGATATAGGCATGGGCAAAGACTTCATGATGAAAACCCTAAAAGCAATTGCAACAAAAGCCAAAATTAACAAATGGGATATAATTAAACTAAAGAGCTTCTGCACAGCCAAGAAACTAGCATCAGAGTGATCAGGCAACATACAGAATGGGAGAAAATGTTTGCAATCTACCCATCTGACAAAGGTCTAATATCCAGATTCTACAAGGAACTTAAACAAATTTACAAGAAAAAAGCAACCCCATCAAAAAGAGGGCAAAGGATATGAACAGAAACTTCTCAAAAGGAGACATTTATCCAGCCAACAAACATGAAAAAAAAGCTCAACATCACTGATCACTAAAGAAATGCAAATCAAAACCACAGTGAGATACCATCTCACACCAGTCAAAATGCGATTATTAAAAAGTCAAGAAACAATAGATGCTGGCAAGGCTGTGGAGAATGGTTTTACACTGTTGGTGGGAGTGTAAATTAGTTCAACCATTGTGGAAGACAATGTGGTGATTCCTCAAGGATCTAGAACCAGAAATACCATTTGACCCAGCAATCCCATTACTGGGTATCTACCCAAAGGAATATAAATCATTCTACTATGAAGACACATGCACATGTACGTTCATTGCAGCACTGTTTACAATAGCAAAGACATGGAACCAACCCAAATGCCCATCAATTATAGACTGGATAAAGAAAATGTGGCACATATACACCATGGAATACTATATAGCCATAAAGAAGAATGAGCTCATGTCCTTTGCAGGGACATGGATGAAGCTGGAGGCCATCATCCTCAGCAAACTAATACAGGCACAGAAGACCAGGAACCTCATGTTCTCACTCATAAGTGGGAGTTGAACAGAGAACACATGGACACAGGGAGGGGAACAACAAACACCAGGGCCTGTCAGGGGGTGGAGAGCAAGGGGAAGTAGAGCATTAGGACAAATAGCTAATGCATGCAGGGCTTAAAACCTAGATGATGGGTTGATAGATGCAGCAAACCACCATAGCACATATATACCAATGTAATAAACCTGTATGTTCTACATACGTATCCGGAACTTAAAGTAAAATAAAAACAAACACACAAAAACAATCCGATCCTGTCATTTGCATCAATGTGGATGGGACTGGAGGTCATTACGTTAAATGAAATAGGCCAGGCATGGAAAGGCAAACTTTGCATACTCTCACTTATTGTGGGAGGTAAAAATTAAAATAATTGAACTCATGGAGATAGGGAGTAAAGGGATGATTCCCAGTGCCTGGGAAAGGTAGTGGTGGTGCTTGGTGGGGGGAATGGGGATGGTTAATGGTTACAAAAACATAGTTAGAAAGAATGAATAAGATCTCATATTTGATAGCACAACAGCATGACTATAGTCAATAATAATTTAATTATATATTTAAAAATAACTAAAAGAGTATAACAGGATTGTTTGTCACACAAAGGATCAATGCTCAAGTTGATGGATACCCCCATTTGCCCTGATGTAATTTTTATGTACTGAATGACTGTATCAAAATAACTCATGTATACACTTACTATGTATCTGAATTTTTTTAATTTAAAATATTATTAGACACAAAAATCATTTACTAAAAGTAAATCTCAACTCACTAGGAAGATATAATTCTAAATATGTATGTACTTTACAAAATAGTCTCAACCTATATAAAGCAAAAATTGCTACAACTACAGAAAGAAACTGACAAATCTAACATCACAGTAGGAGATTTACAGAACTTCATGCTTTACTGAAAATTCTGTCAGTTATCCATCTCATTAGAATTGCCTGTTTTGTTAATCTTTTTAATAGTGCTGATTCCTTAAAATGGGCTGAGTCTTTGTCTTTGGCCTAGATCATGGTAAGATTTTATGAAATTATCACATTGGTTTAAGAAGAATGTGGCTTATCTAGTTGATAGGCACAAGACATAACTCTAAACATGTATGTACTTCAAAAAATAGTCTTCTATAGATTCAGGCTTATTAATTATATCATTCAAACCTTGTATAACTTAGCTTTATAAATTTCTTTTTTCAAACCAAGAAAACACCAGATTTTGATGGCTTTATAGGATATTCTACAAAACTTTATGGAACAAATCATTGCAATTTTATAAAAATTCTTTCACAAGATACAAAAAAGGGACACTATCATATAATTTCATTCTATGATCCAAAATGGAAATAAGGAGTGATCTTACTCATAAATATAAATGCAAAGGTATTACCCCAAATATTAGAAAAATAAAATTCAGCAATCTGTTTTAGAAAAATAAAGTTCAGCAATCTGCACAAAGGGTAATGTGCCAAAACTAAGCTGAATTTATTCCAAAAATTCACAAGTGAGTTAAAAAGTTTATTCATGTAATTTCCACATTAATGTATTTAAGGATGAAAACAACATGATTTCAACAGATGTCAGACAAGCACTTAACAAACTCCACATTTATTTGTGATGAAACTTTTAGCAAACTATGAATAAAAGGAAATTCCTTTAATCTATTAAAAAGTACCAAATAACTCCTACAGTAAACATAATTCTTAATAGTAAAACATTAAAAACATTATCTTTAAAACTTCAAACAAGGCAAGGATGCTTATTTTTACTACTGCTATCCAACATTATGGTGCAGGTCCCAGCCAGTGCAGCATGGAAAGAAAGAGGAAAAAATGTAAAATATGGAAAGGAAAAACACCATGCTTTTATCATTTTTTTGGCATGTGATTGTCCATACAGAAAATTGAAAGATCTCTCTCTCTCTCTCTCTCTCTATATATATATATACATATATATAAGATATATATGGTAGATATATATATATGTATTTCTATAAAATGTAGATATCTATATATATACATGTATATATCTATATATATGTCAAAATAATAGAGGGTAGAGAGGTGGATGGTTGTAACACCAGCAGTCCAAAATTGCATTTATATACACTAACCAAAAATTTATGAAACATAATTTTGAGAAGGTAATATTATATTAGCAGCAAAGTATGTATGGTACTTAGGAATAAATTTAGAAGTAAATGTGCAAAACGTGGAGAAATATAGTACTTTATTACTTTATTTAAAAATATAAACAATAAAAATTATTATTTTATGAATACAAAGGCTTAATACTGTAAAGATATTAATTCTTCCCTGTTGATCTAGAGATTAAATGAATTTTTAATCACAATCCAGACATTTAAGAAATGATTTATAAGCTGATTTTATATTTTAATGGAAGATCAAATGACCAGGAATAGTCAAGAGACTCCTGAAAAAACAAAACAAAACAAAACAAAGGGAGGAAGGTGAAAGGTCTAGCTTTACCACATAAGAACAACTATAATAAAGTTACAATAATTTGCCCAGAGTAGTGTGGTAGGCAAATTGGCCACTGAAACAGACTCAAGATCCTAAAAAGAAACCCACACTTATAAGGCACCTTAATATGTGATGGTTACTTTGTGAATTAATAAAAGAAAAATGAACATTTTAGTAAGCGGTATTGGAAAAATTTATTACCCCAAAACAAACAAACAAAAAAACCCAAACAATAAAATCAATAAAATTAAATCCCTGCCTCACATCCATAAGCAAAGTCAGTATCTGATAAATTAAAAACATTTAAATGTGAAGACAAGTCTTCAAAACTTCAGAAGGTAATATACAGGGTATCTTCACAGCTTTAAGATGTAAAAAATTTTTACAGCACAAAAATTCCTAACCATTGTATTTGTTTTCTGTGGCTGCTATAACAAATTACCACAAACTAGGTGGCTTACAACATAGAAATTTCTTCTCTCACATTTCTGGAGGCTGCAAGTCAGAGGTCATGGTGTCAGCAGGCTCATGCTCCCTCTGAATATCTAGGGAAGTCCTTCCTTGCCTCTGCAGCTTCTGGTGTTTGCTGGCAGTCTTTAGCATTCCTTGGCTTACAGCTGCACCATTCCAATGTCTTCTTTCTTTGTCACATGGCTGTCTTCCCTGTGTCTCCTCTGTCTCTGTGTCTGAATTCCTCTCTTCTTATAAGAGAACAACAGTGTTTTGATTTGGGGTCCACCCTAATTCCGTGTGACCTGTATCAACCCTATTCCAAATAAGGTCACATCCACGGATTCTGGTGGACGTGAATTTTGGGGGGACACTATTCAAACTAGTATAAGCATTGTACTAGTTTGTTTTTATGCTGCTAATAAAGACATACCCGAGACTGGGAAGAAAAAGAGGTTTAATTGGACTTATAGTTCCACATGGCTGGGGAGGAGTCAAAATTATGATGGGAGGAAAAATGCACTTTTTACATGACAGCGGCAAGAGAAAATGAGGAAGATGAAAAAGCAGAAAGTCCTGATAAAACCGTCAGGTCTCATGAAACTTATTCACTACCATGAGAACAGTATGGGGGACACTGCCCCCATGATTCAAATTATTTCCCACTAGGTCCCTCCCACAACATGTGGGAATTATGGGAGTACAATTCAAGATGAGATTTGGGTGGGGACACAGAGCCAAACCATATCAACCATTAAGGAAAAGATTGATAAATCCTTTCACTATTTACCATGAAGAGAATAAAAAGACAAGCCATAAACTGAGAGAGAATATTAATGTTATATATATAATGAAAAATTTATGTGAATATACTGTATAAACAGACACATAACTGACATGACTCAATAAGGAAGATAATGCAATAGGAAAATTGGCAAGGGTCATCAACAAGCAGTTCACAGAAGAGAAAACATGTATGATGAATTACCTTATGAAAATGTGCTAAGCCTTTGTAGTAAGCAGAGAAATGGAAATTAAGAACACAATAAAATATTTTTTTACTTTCCTTAAATTATGGGGTCTGACAATAACAAGGATGGCTGAAGATTTAGCATAATGGGAAATCTCATGCATTACTAGTGAGATTGTTCATAGAAGCATTATTTATGATGGCAAAACAATAAAAGCAAACCAACATTCATTGGTAAGATAACTGATGTATTGTGATATATTCATTAACTGTACTATTTTTACACATTAATAAAAAATAAATTAACTATAGATACAAGTGACAGCACAGTTGAGCAAAACTGTTTGATACAGACATATATGATCAATCTATCCTTAACAAAAAGCAAGAGAATGACAAATATAAAATGCAAGATAGTGGTTACCTTCAGGGAGGAGTCAGGAAGCTGAGCCAGAGAAGGATCATGTGAGGATATTGGTAATAGTCTAGTTCTTTGGTGGTAGATTTTTATGTGCTTCTTTTATTAGGCATTACCATGTGGATGTGTGCTATGAATGGTTGTGTATAGCAAATATTCCATGATATAAATAAAAAATATATTTTAAATGTCATGATATGGGAACCCAGATATATTCAACACTCTGAAACTAGCCCCATTTTAATTGCAGTATTGATGAACAAGGATTTAAGTCGTCAATAGAATGTACTGACAAAACTTGTGCTCAAATCTGGACTCGACCATTGACTAACTGTGGGATATTGGTAAATTTTCTTAATTTCTCTTTGCTTTGGTTTTCTCATCTATAAAACTAGGATAAAAATGGACCTTGCTTTACAGGGTTGTTATGAAAATCATATAAAACAATGGGGATAAAGTTCTTCATAACAATTGCTTGAACATGCAGTAAGCACCTAGTGAATGTGATGTATTTAGATTAGACAGAGGCCTGAAATGTACTTAGGCAAGTGCTGTCTTGCCCATCTGTCATTGCCCTGAAAAGGCCTTGCTCCCAGGTAGCTGCTGCCCCTTTTGCCTGGGTTCTAGAATGAACACACATGAGCCCAGCCCGCACTGAGGATCTAAGCCCAAGTGAGCTTGCAGTTTGAAACAGAGCTGCCTGCCTGAGCCCAGACTCAATTGACAAATCCCCAGCTGACATGCTGGTTGAAGAATTGAGAATAAATAATTGTGTTAAGCCTATGAGTCTTAGAGCATTTTGTTTATAAAAGTAGTTGACCAATACATGAGCTGCTATTATTGTTATAATAATTATTATTTATATTAAAGATAACAAAGATAGTTGCTCTTGGGTCTGCAATGTTTATCTCATGCCCACTGGTTGTAAATAAACTGATTGTTTAATGCCTTAAAACATGGAGAACTTTCCATTTCTATCTTGAGCAACTGCCACAAGCATAAATGGCTTACTCACATCAGCTTCATCCCTCCTATATCTCCAGAACACACTGGGTTGTATCAGCTCTGCTTCAGCACACACTGCCATTGTGAAAAAGACCTGAGCACAGAGGAGAGACACGCTATCCCTAGTTTAGTGGAGTCAGTTGTGTAACTGGATGTTCCACATCAATATTATGAATGCCTCTTTTTGTTGTTAGAACATTGTACAGTCCATAAACCACTCATTCACGTATTGTCCTATTGATCTGCACTTCAATCTTCCCGATAGCCATGGTCAGGATTATGCTGCCTCCTGTGTAATAAAAAGCCCTAATCTTTCAGCAGTTATAGTGACTTGACAAAGGCCACAAAGCTTGTACAGTACAAAAGGACTCAAATCTACAACTTCTAATGCCAAACCCTGGCTTACTTTCACTGCCTCATGGATGCCTCTTAATGCTCACAATTTTCTTTCTCAAGAATAGACAATTTTCAATGAATTGGGTCAGCAACAGGTTGGGCCAGTCTCTTATGTGACCCTGGTGTCACAGGAAATGTGCTACCACATACATAGCGGCATTCTGTCATTCCTCTGTCAGACACTGGAACTCATACAAATACACAAATTCTAAAACATTGACAGTGGCTTCTGGAACTCTTAGTCTTTGCTGGTTTCTCAAACTGTTTTTGGTTAGAAGATTCGAAGGTTGGGGAGCAGATGAAGTAGGGACAGATCCTTATCTAAGGTACTTGGAAATATCTGAACCCAAACTATCCAATGCATTAATACAAGATTACAGAATCAAGAAACCAAGGCCTGTTTCCATAGACTCGTTTGTAAATTCAGATATCATGTGAAATAAATTGACAAATGAATTTAATGTGTTTTCTTTAAAACTTCTGCACAACCAGTAAGAACATAAGGGAAGCTTTCCAAAGTATTGCCTCGGTTTATGACACAAGATGTCCTTGTGTGTAAAATTCTTTTAAATAGTTGCCTAGATTTTTAATAATACACTTTATTTTTATCAAATAAAGCTGTGAGTTTCTGAACACTTCCTCTTTGGGAGAAAACTGGGTTCAATAATTTAGCATCGGAGTAAAGCACTGGGTATTTGTCTGTCTGGGTTATAATCTCAATTCCACCACCTACTGGTTGTGTGACTTTGGACAAGATGCTTCAGATTTCTAAACCTCAAGTTTCTCATCTATAAATTGGGACAATTAATAAGACTTTTCTCGTAGGTTTTTATGAGGATTAAACTAGGCAATTCATATACAGTGCTTAGAAAAACAGCTGGTATAGTTGAAGGTCAAATCCTAGCAATTTAGTAGTAATTGTTCCTCAAATTATTAGGAATTAGCTGGACATGATTTTTGGCAGGTGATTTCATTTTTGTCATTGCTTCATCAGAGCGCTATAGTGTGTTTATTGCTTTATCTGAGTATTATGTGATGGTTAAAGAAGTTGTGCTTAAATCAGATTTTTGAGGTTTCAGATTGCATGCGCAAGAAACGGAACAATTTTAGTCTCTAGTGTGTTATTTTAAAAAATGCTGAAAAATAAGAGAATCCACCCCATAGGATCATTCATAAGATAAAGTGAGAAAATGGATATGGATGGCAAGCCCTTAGAAGAATGCCTTGAACACGCCGATTCCATAGTGACAAAACAACAGCAAGGGAGTTAGAATAAAGACCCAAAGTCTGTTATCTTTGTCTCCATTGGTCTGAAGGTGTTGACTCTGTAAACCTCTAACAAGAATATTTTAAACTCAAGTCACTGACATCTTTGTGCTGTTAGTTGCCAGTCCCTGGGTTGTCAGTCTCTGGCTCGTGTTGGGTTGCTCCACCTGCCCTTGGCTTTGGGCCCTTTCTCCCTAAAGGGGCATGTTTGGAGCTGAGCCAGAGTCCATATACTCACAGTGGGCACCACGGCTCACAGCTGCTGCCAGTGTGTTGCCCAGAACACACTCTCCTTGAGAGAGCTTCTCCAAGTTGTCATCCCAGTAGTGGTTGGAGTAGAAGATATCCCTTTTTCCAGCATTAGGCTACATTTCTGACAATTCCAAAAACCCATTTCCGCACAGCCCTGGTGCCAGCCCAGCCAGAATTTATCAACTCCAATCCCTTATCCATTCCTGCAATACTTCTATCTTTCACCCCAGGCTGTAAAAATCCAGGCCTATCCATATTTAAAGGTCTAGTCAGAACATTTCTTGCTTCACAGCTAATCAGAAATTCTCTCTTTTATTGAAACCTCTCATCACACTTTAAAAAGAATAAATCTAAGCTCTCTGTCATGACCTGAAAGTCTTTTTCTGCCTCTCTGATTCTATTTCCTTCTTCATTTGTGTTCTTCAGTCACACAAATCCTTTGTATGTTCTTTGGACTTTCCAAGTTCATTATCTAGTGTAGCATTTGCTGTTTACCATGCTTGGAAAACTTGCTTCCAAAATCATCGCTTGGTTGGGTGTATTTTTTTCAGTTTTGAATCCTTTCCCCTCCATCAAACAACAACAACAACAACAACAACAACAGCACAACTCACTTTCCAGTCAATCTTGAGTGGGGTTCTTGACTAGGGGTGCTGCCTCCACCCTCAACTGGGGGACATTAGGCAATCTCTGGAGACATTCTTAATTTTCACAACTTCTTTTCAACATAGTACTAGAAGCACTATCAGGAGCAATTAGACAAGAAAAATAAATGAAGGATATCTAAATTGGAAAAGAAAAAGTAAAATTGTCTCTATTTGCAGATGACATGATCCTATATATAGAAAACCCCAAAGACTCCACCAAAAAACTTCTATATCTAATAAATGAATTCATTAAAGTTGTGAAACATAAAATCAACATACAAAAAAATCCATGACATTTCTATTTGCAAATATCAACCTACCTGAAAAAGAAATCAAGAAACACTCCCATCACTCCCATTTATGATAGTATCAAAAAGACTTCAAAATAAATTTAACTGAGATGAAAGACCTATAAACTGGATACTATAAAACATTGATGTTGTTTTAAATCAACAATATATACTCTCTGCTTTACCTTGACTAATAAAGATAAAGCTTTTTAAAAAGCTTTTAAAAAACTAGTTAATTCAGATTTTTCTCTCATGAACCTATGCCTGACTTTACTCTCACCAAGAATGAATGCTAACTACAATTTACTTCTTTAGCTGTATGCTTTTCCAAAATTCTTTAAACACTTTCTAGCATATTCTAACATAAAATCATATATTCTTACTTGGAAGAACACTTTGTATTTGTGATAAACCAGTCTAGAATAAATGAATTGTTATTAATCCAACTAATGACAGTAACTAATTAATTCACCTGTTTCTTCTAACAATTTCCTGATAAAATGTTTTCTTATCTATCTGTTTTTTAACACAAATGTTGATATAATGATTTACTATGATAATATAGTTAACACAACTTTTTCCTTGTATATATTTTTTTATACCTCCTGGAAATATAAACCTATGTTCTTCATGCTTATCTCCTTTATCTCTTGACAATTTTTTAGAACCAAAGATCTGATTTTGGTGACTAAGTGAAATAAAAAGAAACCATTAAGCAAATTTAATAATAATAATAATTATTATTATTATTATCATTATATTTTGAGACGGAGTCTTGCTCTGTCACCCAGGCTGTAGTGCAGTGGCACGATCTCAGCTCACTGCAACCTCTGCCTCCTGGGTTCAAGGGATTCTCCTGGCTCAGCCTCCCAGATAGCTGGGACAGGCATGTACCACCATGCCTGGCTAACTTTTGTATTTTTAATAGAGATGGGGTTTCACCATGTTGGCCAGGCTGGTCTCGAACTCCTGATCTCAGGTGATCTGCCCACCTTGGCCTTCTAAAGTGCTGGGATTACACGTGTGAGACACCGTGTCCAGCCAAATTTAATATTATGTAACTGTTGGTGATTCTACTTTTAATCATTTTATAATTTACTTATTTAGGCAAAGTCCTATTTTTTAGAAATCTTTTCCTATAGAAATGTTTTTAATATAGATTTTAGTTCAAAAAGAGCAACAATGCTGACAATATAATCATCATCAACATTAACTCAATAGCAATTATAGTTACCATTCCTTATGTCACATCCTTCTCTACAAATTCAATGAAAATATTTTATTTAATCCTCAAAACAACAGTGGAGAGAAGACAGGACAATTTGGAGAAAATGAGATATATGAATTTTAAGTGACTTATGCAAACTAAGGCTTGATCCTAGGCCTTCTGTCTCTGCCAAGTATTCCTTTCCTCCCTTGTGCAATCCCAACGCTTGTGGAACCCAAACTTATCACCTGTAACAAGCATTACTTTCTATACAAACTGGAGATACCTCATTGAAACAATTCTTGAGTCTCAAAAGAGAAGTAAATCTATGATTTTCATGGATTAACCTATTGTTGTATCTTAGGCATTAGTCACAGTTTTGCTATACCTAGATTTTTGCTATCCAACATGGTAGTCACTAATTACATGTGGCTGTTGAGCATTTGAAATGTGAGTAGTCTGAATTGAGATGTGGTGTAAGTATCAAATACATACTGGATTTCAAAAACTTAGTATAAGAAGAAGAATGTACTACAAATCTTCTGTACAGCAAAGAAAACAATCAACAGAGGAAGTGAAAATCCATGGAATGGGAGAATACATTTGTAAACCATGTGTCTGATAATGAGCTAATATCCAAAATATGTAAGGAACTTAAGCAACTCAATAGCAAGCAAACAAATAATCTGATTAAAATGGACAAGGGACCTGAATAGTCATTTCTCAAAAGGAGACATACAAGTGGCCAAAAAGTATATGAAAAAATATTCAACATCACTAATCACCAGAGAAATGCAAATCAAAATCACAACTGTTAGAATGGCTATTATCAAAATGGCAAAAGTTAAGAAGCGGTGGTGAGGTTGTAAAGAAAAGGAAACCCTTGCATACTGTTGTTGATAATGTAAATTACTATAGCACTTATGGAAAACAATATGGAGGTTTCTCAAAAACTTAAAAATAGAACTATCATATTATACAGCAATCGCACTACTGGGTATACATCCAAAGGAAATGAAATCAGCATGCCAAAGAGATACCTGCACTCCCATGTTCATCAAAGCATTTTTCACAATAGCCAAAGTATGGAATCAACCTAAGTGTCTATCAGTGGATGAATGGCTAAAGAAAATGTGGTACACATACACAATGGAATACTCTTCAACCATACAAAAGAAGGAAATTCTGTCATCTGTGACAACATAAATGAACCTGGAGGACATTAGGTTAAGTGAAATAACCTAGCACAGAAAGACAAATATCACATGATCTCACTTGTATATGAAATCTAAAAAAGTTGAGCTCATAGAAGCAGACAGTAGAATGGTGGTCACCAGGTTGGAGGGTGAGATTACGGGGATGTTGATTAAAAGACAAAAAGTTCCAGTAAGATAGGAGGAATAAGTTCAAGAGATCTGTTGTATAACATGGTGACTACAGTTAATAGCAATATATTTCATCTTTGAAAATCACTGAGATAGTAGATTTTGTGTTCTCACCACAAAAAATAAGTATGTGAGGTAATGCTTATGTTAATTAGTATGATTTAGCCATTCCATAATATATACAAACATTTCAAAACATCATGTTGTACAGAATTAACATACAATTTTTATTTCTCAATTATAAATTAACTTATTTTATTTATTTTTTGAGATGGAGTCTCATTCTGTTGCCCAGGCTGGAGTGCTGTGGTGAGATCTTGGCTCACTTCAACCTCTGCCTCCTAAGTTCAAGTGATTCTCCTGCTTCAGCCTCCCAAGTAGCTGGGACTATAGGCGCATGACACCACATCTAGCTAATTTTTGTATTTTTAGTAGAGATGAGATTTCACCATGTTGGCCAAGCTGGTCTGGAACTCCTGGCCTCAAGTGATCTGCCCACCTCTGCCTCCCAAAGTGCTAGGATTACAGGTTCACAGGTGTGAACCACCATGCCCAGCCAAGCAATTAATTTTTAAAAAGGAATGTAAAATATCTCATTAATAATTTTTAATATTCATTATACATGGAAATGAAAATATTTTGGATGTAATGTGTTTAACATACCATTATAACTAATTTTATCTGTTTTTAAACATTCTTATAATATGGGTTACTAGAGAATATGGAATAATATACATGGTTCACATGCATGCCTCACATTCTGTTTTTATTGGACAGCTCTGCCCTAGAGTTTTTAATCTTTCTTGGGCATAGTTCCTGATTTTACTCTTTATTTAATATGTTTTCCCTTTCAAAATGATTGAAACTTTTCTGCCAGTACTTAAGCCTCATTATCACATAATCATCTGTTTATTTCCTATATTTGGCACTTGACACTTTAATCTAGACCCTGTTATGCTAAACACATAACTTAAAAAAATTTATAAGACCTTTTTAGATATTCAAAATTACTTTCAAGTTAGAATTTCAAGTGTATTCTTAAGAAAAAGAAAAGGACAAAGTATAAAGGCAGAGGGAGAGGGCATAGCACAAGTCAATTTTATCCTGCAGGGAGAGCACTTAAAGTAAAATTTTATTGAATAATTACACTGGGAAATTCTGCTTGAGTTTCCCCATGTACTGTGTGCCTATGTGTGCGTATTAGAGTCTTTCAAGGATCAGATGAGTTAATAAGCATAAAACACACAGAACAGTGTTTGCCATCGAATAAACAACAAATACTAGCTTTTATTTTATTATAAAATTTGATTGGAGATACCTCACAGATCAATATATTTCCAAATGATCTATGGCCACAATAGAACTTAATAGCTAATATGGGAGTGATTATTAATAAAAGATAGTTGTAACATAGAAATAATAAATATTTGAAGTGATGCTTGCCCTAAATCCTCTGATGCTTTCCCTAAATCCTCTGAGTTGAACATTGCACATATGCATGTAACAAATTATCACATGGACCCCATAAATAGGTATAAATATGTATCACTAAAAAATAAAATAATATTCTCTCCATCCCATCAGTCACTCTCCTCTACCTGCCTTATCCAACATCACAGCCCTTTCCCCCACCTGACATGTTTCTATACATTTGTTTGTCATTGGTCTGCCCACCAGAATGTAAGCTGCCTGAGGGCAGGATCTTTGTTTTGCTTCTTGTTGAATCCTCTGAGCCTAGAATAACACCTGACAGAGTAGGTAGTCCCATAGGGGTCTGTTAAATAAACTGTGGACAAATAAAAAAAATGTTTAAAGAGAGTTGTAGAAACATATTTCAATGCAATTCTCTCTTTCTGTATCCTTTCACCTAACTATCCCTTCAATTTTACAACTATGCACTTTATATTTCTATTGTTCTTAGTATTGCAAAATTGTACCACTGAAGGGGAAATAATACAGTATTATCTAGTCAAACTTCCTTACTTAACAGATGAAAAAGATGCCACCCAAAGAAGTTAAGTAACAGGTCTTGTTCTAAAATAGTTATTTAAGAGATGGAAGAGTGATAGTGGCATTTTATCAAGCAATTGCCATCAGCCAGCACTATATACAAGCTTTGAAGACAGTATCTCATTTAGTCCCCATAACAAGTGATTAAGAGAAATACTGCTTCTTCTTGCATGACACGAGTGGGAAAATGGAAACTGGAAGGGATTGGGTTAGTTGTCTAAGGTTGCACATCAGGCAGGCTAAGAGTTGGGGTATAAACTGGAGTTTGATTCCAAAGTTGTGGGCTTCACACTGTGTTTTTGCTGTTTTTCTTACTAGTTTTGTTTTGTTTTTAAAGTAAAGTGATACAGTAAGGGAATTACAAAGTAACCGTTCAGCCTCTCTTTTGGTTAGTCTTGGATGAATGTGAATTTAAGGCGTCTGTCAGATCTAGACTCTCGTTGGTAGCAAATGCCAAGAAGGAAAGGAGGCAGCCCATTTCATGGTTATAAAGCCCAGAGCAAAGACCCCAGGGAGGCCCTTGATGTGTTCAGTTTCAGTGGGAATAAACATAAAGGATGAGGAATTAACTGAGTTATGACGGACAAAATATATAGACACTCTTCCTTGAGGGACATGTCAATTGATTTAAGGAGCAAACAGGGAGAGTATGTGAAATGGACTGTAAAAATGACTCTGTGCTTCTTCTCTGTCTAGAGATATCAGAGATTAACTTTTCTCTCACAACAGAATCATCAAGTTATCAAACACATTTAAGAGTCTTTATTCTGACAGAACCAGTATTAATAAATTAAAATAACTTTAAAATTGGGTAAAAGAAAGTTGAAATTATGTAATTGCTTGTTCATTGAATGAAAAAAATGATTTCTTATTTATTATTAAGCTGTTTTAAAGTTTGTCTTAAGTAATTTACCTAAAGTAGTATGAGATCTATGGGGCTTAATGTTTTGAACAGTGAAATTTGATTTGGAAATGATATGAATTCCTTGGATCTTTCTTGCTGGAAAATAAAACACTCACAAACATATAAATCACCCAACCCTAAACTGAGGGAGATAGAGGTAAAATGGAAGATGAACGAAGTTTATTCAAACCCAAATATTGTTTCTAAATTACTGGATAATATAGTTCCAGAAAATTCACATGAAAAAAGGCCACTCCTGGTAAGAATGAGTATATTAATTTCCTGTTGTTACTGTAACAAATTACCCCAAATTTAGTGGTATAAAAAAAGGACTGGTTCTATTACAGTTCTGTATACCAGAAGTCTCACTGGGCTAAAAATCAAGATGCCAACAGGGCTACGTTCCTCCTGGAGGCTTCAGAGGATAATCTATTTCCTTGAGGTTGCCAGCTTCTGGAGGCTGCCTGCATTCCATGTCTTCTGGCCCCTTCCTCCACCTTAAAGGCCAGCAGAATAGCATCTTCAAATCTCTCCCTCTAACTTTCACACTCTCTTCTGCCTTCCTTTTCCATTTATCAGAACCTGGAGGCAGTCATCCTTCATCTCAAAGTCACAATCTCTTTGTGCTGTCTTCTCTGTGTTCAACTTTTCCCCATTCTTTTCTTCCCAGGTCCTCTGTCATCAAGTCTTGGTAGTCACAGGTCCTGCTTTAGACTAGCATTGTTCTCATTTCTATAACTTACCATTTTATTGGACTCAATTATCACCTAAGGGGCATTCTTCAGCAGGAAGCACATTTATCTGAGATAAAGTAAGTTTTGTCGTCTGTCCTCTTGAGACTTTGGTTATTTTACAATCTTGCAACAACGCTGCTAGATCCTTCTTCTGCATGATAGTTGTGTGTCATCACTGGTATTGTTCCTTCCAGCCTCTCCATGAAATTTCTATTATTCAGAATTACCTGGCTTAATTCTAGTTCTCCACTTCCATTTTGGCATGTGTATAGATGCCCACAATATCTGTGTGCACACAGATACACATCATATCTTGGATGCCTACTGATGCTCACAATATATGGGTATGTGTATATACACATATATACACATACGTATATATGCATATAACTATATGTAATTCATGGATGTAAGTATTTAGCAAGAACACACTCACTTAAGAGAAGAATAATATCCAGTACTTGTGCTGTATGTTCAGAAAGATTTGAAGATGAATTACATGGAACCAGCTATGATGGAATTATGTAGATAGTTTCCTCAAAAGAGGACCATTTTCTGTGTATAAATACTAAACTTTGGTCTCTGGGACCCAGACATGTCTCACTGAAAGAAGGTAAATCTTATTACAAAATCATGGGAATGTTTAATCACCAGGAGTCAGCTTGTAGAAGAATTGCTGTCTTCCGTTTAAATGAATCATGACTGGTGAGTTAATGGTAGACGCTAGATGTTATTTTACCACATATTTTATCACTTAATATAAACCACATTGTGAAAGAAATAAGCCTATCAGCATTATATTCAGACCAAATAAATGGTAATCTTTCCCACTGAAGTTTGGTAAATAATTTAATAAATCTTCTACTAGAATCTCATGAAATTTCAAATAAACCAGTAGACTTTCAGTTTAGCTGTTTAGTACTCATAATGAATCCTTAATGTCTAACAGCATCTACTGTTTACATTTGCCTGAGGTCTCTAAAACATTATGAGATGAAACGATTTTTTTCTGTTCCTTGGTGTATGGCTGTCATAGAATTAAAGTGTTTCATGAATTTCATATTTGAGTGAATGATTTCCGTTCTTCAGCCTCTTGTGGGAAAGAAGAAATAGGTGGCGCTTCATTTAATAGTATACTGTCTTGTCTAGATTGAATTTGTTATGAATTGCATGGTTCTCAATTGTACTCTCATGCGTCCTTAAAACAAACCACAAATTCTATGGGACTCATATTTTGTTCTTTGCTGAACACTAAGAGTATATAAATGATGATTTAAGAGCGATGTAACTGAAGTTGGTATAAGGCTACAAACAGTATGTTAATTTTCCTTAGTAACATAAAAGAAAGCTTGTTTTGAATATCCTTAAAAGTTTAATAAGAGTTCCTTTCAAGGCACTATAGAAATACAGCTCCACAGAAAAATAAGTATGTATCCATTAGCTTTTGCTAAAATGTACCCACATTTCCAATTACAAAATTCTTGTAAAGCCAATAATTTCCTCCTTTTAGAATCACTTAAAACAAGTGGGAAGAATTATATTGTTATTCAAACAGGGAACATTTGTGTATATAGAATGGATTTCCGTCTAAACTTAGGAGATTGCCAAACTTAAAAATTATTCCATTTGAACGCTTTGGAAAATTTAACAGGAGTCAAAAGAGCACAGAGGAGGGAGTTAACTGGCTGAGCTCTGTGGATCAATTGATCAATAACCTTTTCTGTGAACTCAGATCACCAGGTTCATTCAGCAAATCTCTACTGAGGTCCTATTAGGGCTAGACTTTGTTCTGGGTACTAAGGATGCAATACTGGCCATGTTAGATAATGTCTCTGACTCAGTGGTATTTACCTTCTTCTGTTGAAGAAACAGACAACACTCATAAATAAACACTCATAAATAAATTGACATGTAATATACTGTTAGATGATTACTTTTAAGTGCTACCAGGAAAAATAAAAAAAGGGTAGGGCTGGAAATGATAGGAGTGTGACTGAATGCCCTGGGTTTAATTTTCCTCACAAGCTTTGTTATTTCAATGAGCATGAGAGTTTAAAGCAGCTTCTAAAAACACGTAAGGTACAGAATAATTACATAAATATTAGAGGGAGTTTGGTATAAGGTTAGAAAAAACTATTACGTTCCTGGGTTAAATTTAATCACAGACCTATAGACTTTAAAGTCTGGTATAGTTGCTAGAAAGAGGCCGTAGACTTGACCCTAAACCTCCTATAAGCCAAAGCTTATATCACATCCAAGTCCATCGGCATTTATGTCTACAATTTCTAGCTGTCTACTTTTCCTTTCTCTTCTATTTTATTCAATACTTTTGTAGTTTTAAGTAACAGAAAAGATTTTTGCGACAGCGTATATGTCAGTTTCTCAGTATGATTTTATATCTTAGAAAATTAACTTAGCTACTTAACTAATAGAATGAAATTGAAAACAGTTTCACAAAACCTCTTTAGTTAAGCCATAACTGAAACTCAAATCACGGAGACATATACCAAGAGCAGAGAAGAAAGTAGTAATAATCTAGGTGGATAAATATTTTAATTGCCAGGTATCAGTTTTTAACAGTTTGGTTGGCATCATTAAGAAGATTTCATGTAATTTCACCTACCAGGACTCCTTTTACCACACCCACAACATTTACCCACTTAGCCTGCCTAAACAAAATTAAATAAATTAGAATAAAAATGCTTGTTGTGACACTATATAACTTTAGCCATTATTTTTCGGCAGTTTCTTTTCCATTCTCTTCTTGTTTCTCCATTCTCTCTACCTTGGTATTCAAAACCTTTATTGGAAGCTGAGAGAGCAGAGGGTACGGGAGTCATTAGTTACCACGAAAGAGAAGTGAAGTCTCTGCATGAGGCACACACATCTTTGGTGTCCAAGTGGTTCTGAAGTCATGAATTGCAAACACCTGCCTCTGTTTTAGAGCCCTGCAATGGTGACACCTAGCAGGAGAGAAAAATTCTCTTTTAAGAAATAATTCCCTTTAATGTGAATTTCTTTTCAGATACATGTCCACAAACACTTGTTTTTTATGAGTGGATCTTGTGACATAGAGTAGGTGTGTTTCTTGAAAGTTCAATAGCCATTAGACCTTTCTAACTTGAGTTTTGTTTACCCAGGGAATTTAATTCGATTTTCAGAAAATTTTTTATTTGTGACTTGCTGGTGTACTGATCATTGTTTAAGAGAATCATAAAGCCAGTATATGGTGAAAGACTTATGTATGTATGTATAAATTTAATGTAAAATATTTCTGAAAAGTATAGTGTTATATCCAAATAGTTCTTTAGTTGGCAGCACTAAATGAGATAATTGTATGTGTATTTCTGCTGAGAAAGCAGATTTTTCATTTGGACCCTCTCTAATCCTGAAAAAGTACACTTATTTTTTTCTTACTACATTGAGATTGTTCTCCTTTTCTGTTGTCATTATATGTTAAATAAAGGAGTTGAAGAATTGGTGGGGGTGGGGGTGGGGAGAGAATCATAAACCATAATGAAATAAGTATATCCTTAAGGCTACTGGTCCAGGAATATTCTCTAGGGTTGCCCACGTATGAAGCAGCTTGTGGCAAATCAATGCCTGAGATTCAAGGTGTCTTCTCTATGACTTTTTGTTTGAGCATGTATTTGGAACATAGTGTTAGTTCTCTTGGTATAGTAAAGTGTTATGACTTAATCTGTCCAATCATTAGTTTGATTGTCATAAAATGGGGATAAAAATATTGCCTGTGGCATTAAGTGGTGGCAAGACCCAATGAAGGATGCACGCAAAACACACGGTACAGTGTTGCTCAACGTCAGCGCCCAACAGTGCTGGCTGTCATGATATGGTGATGATAGCTTTTCTCTCTCAGTTGAAAAGGCATAGATTTCTCTTTGTACCTAAGTTCTCATGCTTTGAAGAATAGCGTCCTTTCTCAGTGATGACCTTCAATTTTACATACATAATTTAGCAGATTTTATTTGTGTGTGTATGTGGTCTACCTGGATTACACACCAGCTGCTGATGTGATGGAGGGTTCCTATGATGGTAAGGTCATCCCACATCAAATGCCCCCAGTATCTTTCTGCTCTTCTGCCTCAAGACTTCTTCCCAAGCCATGAGTAGTGTTCATATGCAAAGAAGATAATACCCAGGGTGAATCCCAATCACTGGAGGATGAGAGTCTATGGATAAATGTCCCAGTCTCTCTGGCTTTTGAAGGGACCATTCTGAAACACGTTCGTTATGGTTTTAGACATTCCCCAGTGGGAATGAGCCTAGTTGCTTATAGTCATCACCAGTTCAGTGATGCAGCTGTCTTGGCTTTTTCTCCTTCCTTCCTTCCTGCCACCCAGAATTATCTCTCAAATAAATTACTCTAGACTTTCAGATCTTTGTGAAGGAATCCAACTTGATATGAAGAACATAACCTATATTATCACTCAAATCATCACATATATTCTCTCCAAAATTGGTGAAAATTCATCCAGACATTTTTCATGTGATGCAGTAACAGTAGACAAGCTGACAGAAGTCTAATTTTATTTATATAGCCCATCCATAAACCTAAATACTGTCCCTTGAAATTATTTATGGGCCTCTGCATGTCAAATGTATTGTTAGTAAAACAAAAACAAAAAGAAAAAAGGCCACTTAGATATCCTAAGGGTGCTTACTACTTAATCCTTTTAATCTTTCCATGGAAGAAAAAAAAATCCTATTTATAGTGTCAATTATATCCTCACTTGTCTATTTTTTAGTTTAGGGCATTGGGACAACTCTTGTGATTCATGACCACTTCTGTTCATCATTTCAATGCAAGTGATCAGAAATAAAGAGTATCTTGATTTAGAGTTTAAAAGGTCAAATTGCAGTTGTCTAAGGCCCGTCAGGAAAACCAGTTTGTGTTGTTTTATTAGCATTACAGCATATCCCATGCCTGTCTTTCTGTCTGTCTGTCTTGGTCTATTATAAACACTTAACTTTTTTCTTGTAGGGGCATGCATAAGGTTAGTATCAGGTTGCTGCAAAAATTATTGCGGTTTTTGCCATTGAAAGTAATGGCAAAAACCGCAATAACTTTTGCACCAACCTAATAGTTATTTTTCAGAAAGAAAACTAATTAAGATGAGGACTCATGTGACCTGATACTCTCCTTATGGACATTTAGCATGCAACAATAATCCCTGAAGGGATAAATCTTAACCAATATGACTTTAATCATGCAAACTAATAGCTTTCAGGTTGGATTCAGCTAGAAGACATGTTGATTTGGTCCACATAGTGATAACAAGGTTTCACATTTGAATTGCTTGTGATTTAAAGATCCAGGTGTTTTAGGCTGGGCGCGGTGGCTCACACCTGTAATCCTAGCACTTTGGGAGGCCGAGGCAGGTGGATCACAAGGTCAGGAGTTCGAGACCAGCCAGGCCAACATGGTAAAACCCCATCTCTACTAAAAATACAAAAATTAGCTGGGCGTGGTGGCGCGAGTCTGTAGTCCCAGCTACGTGGGAAGCTGAGGCAGGAGAAGTGCTTGAACCTGGGAGGTGGAGGTTGCAGTGAGCTGAGATTGCATCATTGCACTCTAGCTCCGGACGACAGAGCAAGACTCCATCTCAAGAAAAAAAGAAATCTAGGTGTTTTAAATACCAACAACAACAATGAGTATTTTGAGCTTCTGAAATGGATTGTGTAACAAACCTGGGTCTCTATTCTTGCATTGCATGCATAGCACAGCGTGGAGCTGAGTACCAGTTGCTTATTATTTGGAGGTTGCCACTACCCCCTCCTAGCTTGCACCTTCTTGGTCCTTGGCTTTGTTTTCTTTGCCTTTTACCTGCTTCACTCATTGATGCTACTAGCCTAGCCTCGAAAGGAATTTGAATTTTAATCTCAGTGTTAATATCCTAGAAGACATGCATTAAAATAACTTTCCTCTTTTAAAGCCAAAATAAATATAGGGCAAAATAGTACAATTTAAATTAGTTAATTCTTGAATTTACTGAGCCCTTCATGACTTGACCCAAATAAAAGTGAAGGGTCCGAACTCCCTTAGTTTACTGATGTGGAAACTGAGAAACAGAGAAGTTTTTTTTTTTTTTTTCTGAAACACAATATTTGTACATTGTTATAGGATATATTTGATATGTCTTTACATGCATAGACTGTACAATGATCCAGTCAGGGTATGTAGGGTATTTATCACTTCAAGTATTTATCATTTCTATGTTTTGTGAATGTTTTGAGTATTCTCTTTTAGCTATTTTGAAATATACAATACTTCGTTGTTAACTATAGTCACCCTATGCTGCTATCAAACATTAAAAATTACTCCTTCTAACTATATATTTGTAGCTATTAATCAGCCTCTGTTTTTCACCCCCCACCCATACACCCTTCCCAGCCTCTGGTATCTATCATTCTACTCTCTACCTCCATGAGATCAACTTAGAGAAATTAAGTTTTGCTTATAGTCACATCACTAACGATACAGTATGTCTGCTCTGAAGTGGTCTAAGTAAGACTTGGAAGATGCTTCACTTTTTATGTTGAAGTAGAAAGGTCCTAAGCTATGTCTTCCATGAAGACTTTGGTTATTTAAACAAAATATCCTTTTTTTTGAAAAACTAAGGTATTTGTAAAACCCAAATTATAAAATTTTGAATTCCTTTCAAACAGGCAAGACCTAAAACCATGATGTTTTTGAAGGGGTCTGAGTAGATTTTATGAGCGTATTGCCAAGATGATAGATCAATGGGAAGGTGCGAGTACACACAGAATGAAAGGGAAATGTGGTAATAGAAATCAAATACTTTCGAAAAGCTTGAATGCATTGTTCTCTTCTAAATATCCCTTTTCCTGTCATTATTAATCTTGGTATTTTGCTTTATTCTTCATATTTGGGAATTTCTTTTACTGGAAAACTGGGTTTTATATAAAAAGATAATATATATTCTATTTTAGGACCTTCTTAAAGGTCACCCTGTGAATGATGTGAGAACTTTACCAGAGCATGCACATTAGAGTCCTCATTAGCTACTCAAACAAAAGCTCTTAAAATTCACAGGATTCTGAGTTGGTGTGAGGGTGGAATGAAAAGACCCTTTTTTTTCCTTCAAAAGCAAGCCAGGCAATCAACTCCAGGGGATGCCTACAGGGCCCATTAAAAATTTCAAGATGTGACATGAGCTTGATTGCTAAATTGGCGACACATGGAGGGGAAGCCAGTGCGCCTCAGAAGCAATATAATGCCTATAAAATAAATGTTCTTCTGTAAGCATGCCAAGCTTTTAAGGCACCAGGGAAGTCAAATCTCTTATTTACATATTAGTTTTCTGTGAACAAACCCAATTGCTCCTCTCTGCTCCCGAAATACTCTGGGTCACAGGCAACGCATACTTGCTCATGTCTACTTTTTAGTAGATCCTTCACATTATGCACTTTTTGTTGCAATAATCTCACAACTCGACTGTGCCTCCACTCTTCATCCCTTACAGTCTATTCTCAACCCAAATAGTTTCCTGCTGAAAAGGAAGTCACATTGTGTTGCTCCTCTGCTCTAACCCTCAGAAATATTTTAGCCACCTCAGAACAAAGGCCTACGTCCTTAGGATGGCTTATAGCAGTGGTTCCCAAAGTGTGGTCCCTGGATCTGCAAGATCAGTATCCCCTGGGAAGCTGTTAGACATTCATTGTCTCAGGCCCTGCCCCAGATCTGCTGAACCAGAAACACTGAGGGTGAGCTGAGCCCAGAAATCAGTATTTTAACAAGTCACCTGGGTAATTATGATGCCGAGTTTCAGTTTGAACACTGCTGTGTTAGAAGACCATTGGTATTTGTGTCACATTTACCCTTTCGCTTCATTGACTGCTCTTCTTCTCACACTACCCCAGCCACTCTGACCTCTGTGCTTAGTACATGCCTACCTGAGGTACTTAGGATTTTTTATTCCCTCTCCCCCAGATAGCTACATGCTCTGAAGTCTCTTGTCCCTGAATAATGATGTCTCTGCTCATACACCTGTTTGTTCATTCATTTATTCAACAAATGTTTGCATATCTAAATGTTGGGCTCTAGGCTACAAGCTTGGGTTGTAAGACTAGGTCTCTGAACTTTGGGTATTTGCACTGTAAAAATGGGTTAAATATAAGCGATGACCATTGCATCACAGCCATTCTTTTGATTTGGCAAGGACTGCTTGAGTTATTTTTATACCTACCCTCACCAACTTCAGGTCTTTTCTCAGATGCCATCCTCACAGATGAGGCCTCCTTGCCCACTGTATTAAGCTTCCTAGGGCTGCTGTTACAAGTGCCACCAACCACAGGTCTTAGGAAACAAGAGATATTTCTTCTCCCACAGTTCTGAAGGCTAGAAAAATCCAGGTGCCAGCAGGGCTGTACTCCCTCTGAGACTCTAGGTAGAATCCTTCCTTTCCTCTTCCTAGCTTCTGGTGATAGCCAGACATCCTTGGTGTTCCTTGGCTTGTCTCTGTATCCTTCTAGTCTCTGCCTCTGTGGTCGTGGTGCTCTCCCAGTGTGTCTTCACCCTATCTTCTTAGAAGGACACCAGTCATTTTGGTTTCAGAGCCCACTCTACTCCAGTATAGCCTTATCATAGCTAGCTACATCTTCAACAAATCTGTTTCCAAATATCACATTCTGAGGCACTGGAAAATAGGATGTCAATAAACGTTTTCTTAATGGGGGCGCACATGTCACCTATAATTCCCACCCTATTTAAAATTGTACCTTGCCCTCCGCGTGGCATACTCCGCTTCTTCTGTGCTCTGTTTCTCTTCTTGCTGCTTGTGACCTCCCAACACACTCTATGTTTTACTTCTCTATTTGGCTTCCTGTCAGGCTCCCTCCACTGGAATTTAAGTTTCATAAGGGCAAGGATTCTTGTCCCTTTCATTTTCATACCCACAAAATCCATAGCTTTTAGAATATACCTGGCACACAGTGGCTCCATATATATTTGTTGAATGAATGAAAATGATAGATCACTAACAATATCATTTAGTTGTTCAGAAGTCTGATTAATTTAAAGCACAAAAAGCACTCTCTATTTTTTAATTTTTAACTTTTTATGCCCGGGAGGCTAAGTACAGAGAGAGTATTATGACAGTGCCACCTGAGAAAAGTTAAATTTATTCTAAAATAAATGGTAAGCTTCTTGGTGGACGAGGGTTTTCTTTTTTTGTTGGTTTTTTTTTTTTTTTTTTTTTTTTTTTTTTTGAGGCGGAGTCTGGCTCTGTTGCCCAGGCTGGAGTGCGGTGGTGCAATCTCGGCTCACTGCAAGCTCCCCCTCCCGGGTTCATGCCATTCTCCTGCCTCAGCCTCCTGAGTAGCTGGGACTACAGGCGCCCACCACCACGCCCGGCTAATTTTTTTGTGTTTTTAATAGAGACGGGGTTTCACCGTGTTAGCCAGGATGGTCTCGAGCACCTGACCCCGTGATCCACCTGCCTCTGCCTCCCAAAGTGCTGGGATTAGAGGCGTGAGCCACCACGCTGGACGGGCTTTCTATCAGGGAAAGACCCAAGGGAAGTTTTGTTTCTGGGGATATTTCCGGATAACTGAACTGGCACTGAGGGATCAGGAAAGAACTGGTATCAGAAGTATCATTGGTCAAAGCAAGACAGAGTAAAAGGCTCTCCCATTGCAGTTTCTTGTCCCTGGGTAATGAAGTCTCTGTTCATACACTTGTTCATTTATTCAACAAATATGTGTATATCTAAATGTTGAACTCTGTGCTACAAGCTTGGGATATAAGACTAGGTCTGTGATCTTCTGGAATTTCCCCGGTAGAAAGAGGTTCAATATAAGTGATGATAGCCACTCTTCATTTGGCAAGGACTGCTTGAACTATCTCTGTACCTACCCCAAAGAGAATCAGCTTCTTTTTACCCAGTCTAGGCACAAAATAATACAGATATTTAGTGGCCAAGTGGGAAGCCACCAAAACGGAGGACTGGATTGGAATTTCAAAGGTAAGTCTGCTATTGATCAGTAAGGATGCTAGAGTCAGTGCTCAAGCATCCTGCTGAGCCATGGAATTAAATGAAGGTGCTGTTTAGTGAAGGTTAGAACCTTATACCCAAGTTTGCATTTCTGTTCTGCTATTTATGAGACGTATGACGTCGGAAAAGGTACCTAACCTATCTGAGGCTGTTTTCTCATCTATAAAATAGCATTAATCTTTCAGTATTGTGTGATTAACACAGATAAAAAAATATAAGGTTTAGCACAGTGGGAGGTGCACAGTAAGCTCTCAATAAGTTGGTATTCAAGAGAAACATAAATCCAGATGGCATACTTAAGAGTTTGGTGGATCTTGGCTTCTCTTTCAGGGCATCATGGGACAGAAAAAAATGGAGTTATGAAAACAATGTGAGCCAGATTCTGGAAATGGGAACACCCACACGAATCAAGAGGCAGACAATGGTGTCAGGAACATAGGAAAAATTGCAAACTTCTCATGTATTTATTTTTAGGGAGGTTGCCTACGTTTTATCAGTTATGAATCTCGGATGGCAAATTTAAGGCAAGTTTCATAAAACACTTTGGGAAAGTTAACCATAATATTAAAGCATGAGGTTTCATCCCAGTATTGTTAAAATTAGGCAGAATGGCTTGGGAGGCCGTTCTCTTTAGCAGCTCGCTTAACCATGCTGCTTAGAAAAGATGGCAGTGAATTGAAACTGAAAGGCAAACTGTGCTCTCACCATCTGTCTTGAAAGAAGTATGATATGGTTGTCATTCAGACTGTTTGGAAGGGAAAACCATTTATAAGTTTCTCCAGCCCTGGATTGAGCACTCTGGACAGAGTTGGATCCAAACTATAAAAAAATTCTTCCTAAGGTTATTTCCAAGGCTTCCATTTCAATAGCAATGCTTTCATAATCAGGCTTAAGCCATCCATTGACTTAAATTACTTTATGAGACTGGATTAATTAAAATGCTCAAGATAAGAAACCCCCATCTATCTCCCTTTCCTACTTATCCTGTTCTTCCCCCACGGATCATCAAAATTTGGATAGAGTGTTGAGGGCTACTCCAATGGTCAGGAAATAACAACTGTGATTAACATGGTGGCTTTAGAAAAGTTGCATCTGTAGCAACAATCAGATTTTACACTCGGAGAACAGTTGCACATGATTAAAAATTCTGAACCTACACAAAGTGTCATTTTCTAGAGCAAAAATGTCCTTGTGCTTTAGAGACTGAGACAAGGAAGGAATGAAGTCCACATCCCCTCCTGCCCCCTTTGCTAGACTCTTCAGCATGCTGTCAAGGTGTCAGTTTGCTGGCCCACTTCTGACTAAACAGAAGGATCTTTTCATACAGGTAAGGTATTTCATATGCATTTTTCCACTCTGGAAACATGAGCGGTGGCCTCTTTAGGTCAGATATATAGGTCTACATTATGGATGGCACACAGTGCCTGCTTTTATAAGCTGATTGCCGATCTGTCCTTGCTTACCCTAGAGCAGAGAAGATGTTCAATCCAAATAAGCATCTTTCAGCTAAATGACCTTTGCTCAGCCTTACTCTCTTTAGAACTTTACCTGTCTACAGCACTGGATGAAACTAGGTTTAATATCTATTCAGTCATTCCTTAAGCATTAGATGTTTACATTTCAAGCAATACAGAATAATTCTGCTTTGTTGCTAGTACTGGGGGTGGGGGAGATACTATTTTATGAGGATAAATAACTTGACTTAGAATATTTCTACCTTTTGGAACAGTGTGCTGTATTTTAAGTTCAAATGAAACGTTTTATAGACTCATCACAGCTGGTGGCTGGAAGTGACTATTGGACAATCACTCCATACCATCCTCTTCTTAAAAATTACAAGCTTAATTGTCCTACCCATGATTCCTAAGTGGAGAATCATAAGCCACAGAATTAAGAAAAATGTTTAACAAGTGGCCCAGTGGGAGAAGAATAGAGTCTTTAAAGAATGACTAGGAGAGAATGTCTTTCTATGTGGTGCCTGAAAGACAATTTCAAGCCCCTACGAATAAGTAGTATTATTATTACTTTTACTATATATTAGGCACGATGCTGTAAGGTACCTGGAAGAAGAAGATAAACATTTTTTGGGAGCTTTGAGGACAGTTTCTATCCTGTGGAATTGAGTACTTCTCATTAGCAAAATTGTAGGCCAAATTTCTTCCTCTCAGCCTTCTCTTTTAGATCCTCCCAGGCCAGTTTTGGAGCACCTGCCCACCCCTACCCCTAACTGCATTTCGTGGAATCCATTTTTTTGCTACAGGCGTCATTTACCTCTCCCCGTGCCAACAGCTCCTGGCCGCCTTTCCCCTGTTTGTATGTCTTACTCCTGTTTCTAAATCTGTGCACCATTAACATCTTCATGGAGTTTATCTTATTTGTTGAATGAGACACTCTTTGTTTTAGTGAATGTAATTTGACTGAAAGAATTCCAGTTAAGGTAGAAATGTGGTTGCTGATAGGACCCGGAGAAATTTCATAGAAATCAGGGGCAGGAAATACTATAATGCCTGGGCCTTGCGGGAGACAGAACTGGAAAATGAGTCTGGATTTAAACAGGTCTGGGAGCCTCAACAGACATGGAGTCCACAGGCTTCATTCGAATGCTTTGTCATCATTATGCTTCTGTAGGCTTTTATGTGTCCTTCATTTTGGGCCCTGCAACCAACCTATCCACTGTCTTACAATCCCAAATCCAAATTCCTTGGAAGCAAATCCATTGGACTGCCTCATCTTTTCCCATTATTTCCCAGGTCATCAAACAGCCCATCAGATGCACTTGGGTCGAGCTGCATTGAGGGGAGAGTAAGGAGGAAGAGTCTCACACAGACACACACACACACAGACACAGATACACACACACACATACACACACACACACACACACACACACACACACGGAGCATCCAAGGCTGTGGCCTCTGATGGATAGTTTGAGAAATGGGAGTGGTGTATCCTCTAATATAAGGTCTTAAGATAAGATAAAGGCCCAGGGACCTTTATGGAATAGCTAATACGTTATCTCAGCAAAGTAGTGTTTGAAAGGGAGTAAAGAGCTAAGGTTGATTTTCACTTATATTCAAATCGTATTGAAACATCATTTCCTATTTTTCCCAGGGTCAATTTCTGACAGCAGTTTGAAAGTAGAAGACTTAATACACATATTCTTATGTGTGTGTGTGTGTGTGTGTGTGTGTGTGTGTGTGTGTCGAGAGAAAGCATATGGACACTATTGCAGCGGCAACAGAAGAGAAAGTAGTATGGACTTTTCGTGCTAGAGGAGATTTTAGAGATCTGCCGGCCCAACCCACACATTTTACACATGAAGAAATCCGCACTCATAAAATTTAGATGGCTAACTTAAGGGTGTACAGCTATTAAGTGGGAAAACAGAGACTCGGATCTCAGATCTCAGGCAGAACAAATCTCAGATCCCCAATCCATTGAGCTTCACAACCCAGCTCTATTAGCTCTATTATATTTTTGTCTCCAGAAAGAAAGTCTTTATTATTAGGTTGGTGCAAAAGTAATTGTGGTTTTTATCATTAAAACTGCAAAAACTGCAATTACTTGTGCACTGACCTATAATTGAAGCAAGCCCAAATATATATCATGCTTTGTCAACTGCATGATTGCTTATTACCTTTTAGTTCTCACCTCAAAGGTTAGTACCCCAAAGGGCTCCTTGACCACTACCTACAGTCAGTTCCACTCCTTGTTCCCCAGGTTTTCCATGATACCATTCTTTTCTTACATTCAGGTCACATGCCCCAATCTTTAATCACCTTGTGCATTTGTGTCCTCATTTTACTCTTCCAGTAAAATATGAGGCTCCATGAAGGTAAAGATTGTTTCTCTTCTTCACGTCTGCATCCCTAGCTCCTGTAATCATGCCCAGCATATTGTAGGAGCACCTAAATAGTCATGCCTGTGTACATTTAATACATATAAATATTAAAATAATAAGTGGTTGGAGAGAACACATAAAATCTTCTTGGCCACATATACTTCCTAATTACTGACAGCATACAAAGTTTAATATCTTTATGCTATTACATTTCTCTAAAGATCCCCATATATTTTTGTGTGCTGTGTCATAATTTCAAGCTAAAACAACATCTGGAATTCGTAGCAAAGGGAACCAGCAACATCTGATTCAGATGTGATTTTACCTGTGCGGGTGTATTCCACATAACTGTGAGTGTGCTCATAACAGAGAGTAACTTGGCTTAGAGATGCTGCATCCCAAATATCCTCTTTGTTTGTGACTCTGACTTTGTCCTGTCACTTTGTTTGTGACTTGTGACTTTGTCCTGTGACTCTGACGGTAAGAATTGTTCATTCTTATTTCTGGCTCTTGGCAGCCTACAGATGCTTCCTGTTAGTGCTCCTGGCAGGTTACTGATGGGGCCTGTTGTTTATTGCCCTATCAAGTCCTATTTATTTTTAAAATAAACTTTAAGTATACTGTAAACTCCCTTCACAAACAAATTTTTCCTCCTCTTTTACACTTGACACGCCTCTAAAAGGAATAGTAACTCTGTCTCATAAATATTTGAACCTGAACCTTTTAGGAAAGAATTATACTTAAGCTACTCAAGAGCAGGAAAGGTCTCTGTCTGAAACCTCCCTTCTAACTACTCACTTCTCTCTTCCTCTTCAATCTCTCTCTCACTTTTTTTTTTGCATTATCTTATCCCAACTTTTATACTGCTCTCTTATCCCACTGCAGACCCAATTCTCTGGTCAAAACTGCTGTCCATATCTTTATTAAGTATTGCTTATATAATGTAAATGTCTTTATTAAAAATATTAAAGGGCTTACTATTTCCAAGCTCATCAAACCCAAATGTTTTACATCTCTTGCTTGGTCCTACATCATGTAAATTTACTATTTTATTCAATCATCTAACACAAAGCTGATGAGAAAAGATGTTGACATGGTAAAACAAAACAAAAATGTCTTGGGGTTTAGATTCATACTGACTTGGGTTCAATTTTAACACTACTACTTATTAACTGACAGCCTTGAGGAAGTCTCCTAACTTCTCTTACTATGCTTTCTCATTGGAAAAGTGAACACTAATAATACCCATTTGAGTACAGATTCATGGTTGTGATAATTAATTTGAGGTGTCAACTTGATTGGATTAAGGAATACTTAGGAAGCTGGAAAGTATTACTTCTGGTTGTGTCTGTGAGGTTTCCAGAGGAGACTGGTGCATGAATCAGTGGACTGAGTGGGGAAGATCCACCCTCAATGTGGGTGGGCACTATCCAATTGGCTGGGGGCCCAGATAGAACAAAAAAGGAGAGAAAAAGATTTCCTTTCTGTCTCTCCTAGAGCTAGGACATTCTTCTCCTCCTGGCCCTGGACATCAGAACCCCAGGCTCTCCAGCCTTTGGACTTCAGGACTGACACAAGCAACCTGCTGGGTTCTTAGGCCTTTGGCCTTGTACTGAGACTTACACCATCAGCTTCCCTGGTCCTGAGACTTTTGGACTTGGATTGAGCCACGCTACTGGCATCCCAGGATCTCCAGCTTGCAGACAGCCTGTCGTGGGACTTCACAGCCTCCATAATTATGTGAGCCAATTCCCCTAATAAATCTCCTCATATGTCTATCTATGTCTATATCTATACCTATATCTATATCATCTATCTATATCTATAAACTGTCAATATATCTATATCCTATTGGTTCTGTTTCTCTGGAGAACCCTGACTAATGCCCTGGCATTCTCTAAATATTTATAGCTCTTGTCTTTCTAAGCACATGGTAGCATTACTTTCCACCAGTACTTTTCAGTTTAGGAATGGTTAAATGATTTGTTTTGACTAATGAAATGTGAGTGGAAGGGATGTGTTTCACTAGTGGACAGACATTTTTAGAGACAGTGTGTGATTTACAATGGTCCCTTCCCCCAGTGAGGCAAATATGAAAACATATGGAGAAAGCTTTCATTATCCTGGGATCTTGGCTGTTTACAATAAGCAAATCCTCCTACTGACCCCCACTGGATATGCAGCATGAGCTATTGGGGTTGCTTGTTATTACAGCAAACATTTTTGTATCCTAACTGAAACATCTATTTGGCAAGGTTGTTTGGAGGATGAGTGACAATATACTTAGAGAGGCAACACAGTGCCACTATGCAGTCAATCAATGGTATCTGTCATCATCAGGAACATTATCATTGTTAGCATTGTTATTTTGTTAGATTTATTTCTATCCTGAGTTTTGTCTTGATTCCCATTATCTTATTGTGCTTTAATGTTTACATTTCTTGCCCTTCACTAAATTATAAGATCTTTGAGAAGGACAGCATACTTCATGTGCCCTCAGTCAGGAATAACCCATTAGATATGGTATCCATTCCAACAATTTTACTGTTGTAGCCTGAATGCAAGTATACATAATACATAAACAAATGGGCATGTTTGTATTCCAGTAAAACTTAATTTATAAAAACAGAAGGCAAACCATAGTCTGTAACCTTCATTTAGACTCTATTCTTATCCTTCTCCCTCCTTCTCTCTCTCCATCTTCAACCCTAGTTTTCCTCTTTCTCTTGTGGGTATGATTGTATTCTCTGCTTCCCCAGGTAACCTTTTTCCTCAAAGATAAAAGTAGCCACCACTATAAAGGAAGTAAATCCCCTCCTCCCCTGTGTTCTTCCTTGGGTAATGTGCCCACACTTGAGCCAATCTCTGCTGACAGAGCATGGGAATTCCCGAGTGGTCAGGCTTGAGTCATGTGACCAACCTGATGATCAGAGAATGGTCTGTGATTGAGGAATCTTTCAAAGCCATCAGGGGTGCAGATGGAAGAAAGTAAGATGCTTGGTAGACACAACAGGGGGCTTCTTACAAGCTCTTTTCTCCTACACATGCAGAGAAATAGGAAAGAACCTAGTCCACAGGACCATCCTTAACAAATATATATTGGGTAGTAGGCTTGATACTTCATAGCCAATTTCCCTGGATATTCTTTAAAGGCTTCCTGTGGGATCTGCAAACAAAAGCGTTAGCTTGTATTTCTGATGGATTGGTTGTGAGAGGTAGGAAATACAGCAAACGAAGGAGACTCTTAAGTTTCTGGCCGAAGCACCTGGGTGAGTGGAGGTACCATATATTTAGATGGTTAGAATTCATCTCCTAAACTGTAAGGCGGAAGCAGCAATATGGATACTCCCCAGTTGGCTTGTAAGTATTTTCCAATGATCTGGGAAAACTTACCAAACTTTACAAAAGCTAATAAACAAAGTATTATAATGTTATATGAGTCAGGACTCCCTGGAAACTATCCAAATTCGTCTCTGTAATATGGGGAATGCCTGAAAATTCCTAATGTGCAATACCATACTACAGGGGGAAAAATAAACACCTTATTCTTGCTATTCCTGGCCACATAAGGTCTGTGTAAAGGGCTTTACTGGCTGCCATAGATATGTGTTGGGCACTCAAAAACTGAGTCAGTTTAGTATACCAGTACATCTTCTATTTTTACTTTGCTCAGAAAATCTGATGAAATTATACAAATCCCTGAAATCTAATATTTTTATGTGATAAGATTGTGTAAGAGGAGGGGGTGGAAGAGAAGTTTGGAAAATGTGGTGACAGATGGCAAGTGGGCTCAGGCACATAGCGTTCCTATATATAGGGGAGGGGACAATCTGGTTAATCAAGGGGAGGGGGGAGCACTTTCAAATTTAGATTCAAGTATTTTATATATTCAGCAACATCATTTAGTGAAGCAGCCTAGCCGGGTAGAATTTTTAATTTTTTTCTTGGTTGGGGGTGAGCTGTGTGATATATATTTTCAACAGTTTTCCATATTCTTTCATGATGTCTACATTTAACAATCAAATTGTATCTATAAGTTTTGGGTGTGTCTGTTGAGAGAGGGCTGAGACTATATATTTCTAGAGAGAGTTCCTTCCAAGGAAATTTACAACATTTCAAAAATTAGGGTCATTACAACTAATTTAACAAGAATGGAAAATTAAAGTGAATGTTCACAATGAAGATGTCTTTATAGTTCAGTAGAATGAGCAGTGAGCTGGCAATGAGGACACTTGAGTTCCAGGCCCAGCTCTAGGTAATACAGTCCCAGGTAGACTGTGTTGCCTTACACAGGGCACTTCAGCTCTTTGAATCTTAGTCTGTTTATTTTTAAACTGAGAGTCCAGATTAAATTATCTATAGGATAATCTTGGTTTTATATTTCCATTGTTATAGGCTGTGTGTTAGTGCTCAGTTAGTTAGAATGCTTTTGATTCCAAGTAACAACAGAAAGCCCAACTGAAGCTGTCTTAATTCATCACAGGGAAAGCCTAGTGTTGAGTGGACTTTCAGATTGGTTTGATTCAAAAAAGGACATTTCCCCAGCTTGTTTACTCTTCTTTCCAGGGTGTCGGCCTCATCCTGACAGGTTGGTGGCTCTTCAGAATCTGAAAATATCAGTTAATGACTCCTGATTAATGTTATGCTTTTTTATACAACTCTGGATGAAAAGAGAAAATCACTTTTTGAGGCTGTCTTAGACAAGTGAGGAAATGTCTTTTAGAAGATCCCTGAAAACTTGTCCTTGCATGACTTTGGCCCAAACTGACTTTTGTTCATATGTGTGATCATGTCAAGGGAATGGGGCTACCGTGAACTATAGGAAAGACTTCTGGAACCAGCGGTTAGCTTGGCAGAGAGATTGTGGTTACATAAGTGAAAATCAGGAAGGATCATAAGTAATGGAAGCAACCATGAAATCTACCAAACATGGCTTTGAACACTTAAGTTTCATATGATCTACACAGTTAAATATGAACTAGAAAAAAAAACAAATTAATGAAATGGAGGTTTTATATGGTAGCTATTATCGTACCAAGCACATAGTAAGCATTCAATAAAGATGCCTACCTTGGGCTAACCTTAAATCTGTTAAACACAGAGAACATATCTCTTAGTTGACAACTAAATAACAAGAAATTGCAGGTATTTTGGGGGTTGCCATAGTGACCAGAGGCCTTCTGCTGTACATTTTTGTTTTAATGCAGTGGTTTTCAAACTTGGCTGCAAATTGGAACCACTTAGGGAGCTTTGAAAAACGCTATTGCTTGAGTCCCATCTCCAGAGTTCCTGATTTGATTGATCTGGGTGGGGGCCAGGGCATTTAGAGTTTTAAAAACTCTCCAGATTATTGTAACTTACTGCCAAGATTGAGGATTTCTGGCTTAGGGACTCCAAACATGAGCATGCGAGGCGTGTTCTCATCCCCTCTTCCCTTGAACTCCCTTTTATAATTCTCTTTTTCTCTACTCTAAACTTGTAACTGTTAGATTCTTCTCCCAGAGCTGGGACTCCCAGAGATACCACATGTTCTCCATTACACTATGACAAAAACCTGAATGTGAGGGTGGAAACCAAGAGTAGGGAAGGCGTACTGTCAATAGGGTGTGTTAGAAGAAGGGGACAAAGGGGTGGAGAAAAGAAGAAGTGATGCAAAAAGCATTTTCCTCTGGCACTAGGATGAGGTTGGAGATGCACATTTAGGCACTCTCAGACTCAGATTCCCACACAAACACCCATACACATACAGACACATCATCTGAAATTCTTCCCAGCCTCCTCCCTGCTCAGCCCACTGCCAACGGCTTGCTTAGAATCTTGCTGCAAATTCATAAAACACCTAAAACATGAATAAATGAGAAGTGACTGTGTATTCATTCATTCGCACATTCATGTATTCATATGTTCTATAAATATTGATTAGGCACCTACTATGTGCCAGGTACATTGCCAGATGGTGAGTGAATAGTGATAAATAAAACAGGAGCTTATAGCACATTAAAGGCCTTAAATCTGGAAAGGGTTTGGAGTGTATGAAGCAGGGAAATGATTATCTTCTTCAACAGTAATTGAGTTCTAGTCTCCGTACCTCATTTGTTGAGTGAGTCCTTGGTAAACAAATGACTGCCCAAATGAATTAGTGAGAAAAGACCAGAGTGACTGGAGCATGGTGCATGTGCAGGTGTTTAGGGAAAAGTGGAATAATATTAGGTTGGAAATAGGTGTGGATATCAGTACATGCTGGATCTAGTTTTTAAAAAATCAGACATTATATTCTGTGCATTGGGAAATAATTACATATTTTCAAGAAAGGAGTGATATGGTCAGAGAAAGTATCTCTGAAATCAGGGGGGATAAAGAAAGGGCTATCTGGGAAAATAGTAAAATGGAAAAATGTTTCTGAAAGAGAGAACAGAATGTGCAAAAGCTTTGAGTCCAGAATGGTATAATATGGCTGCGTGTGGTGAGTCATGCCTGCAATCCCAGCACTTTGGGAAGCCAAGGTGGGCAGACCACTTGAGGCCAGGAGTTCGAGACCAGCCTGGCCAACATGATGAAACCCCATCTCTACTAAAAATACAAAAATTAGCCAGGTGTGGTGGTCTGTGCCTATAATCCCAGCTATTCAGGAGGCTGAGGGATGAGAATTCCCTGAACTTGGGAGGCAGAGGTTGCAGTGAGCCGAGGTCACTGTACTTCAGCTTGGGCAACAGAGCAAAACTCCACCTCAAAAAAACAAAAATAAGAAAAAAAAAAATGGTATAATATGTTTGAGGAGCTGAAAGGCACTATGCTACTTTGCCTAATTATATGGACATAAAAGATAGTCTAGTGGAGAGACAATAATAGAGAAATATGACACAGAACAATAGATGCTACAGCAAGTGCAGTTGACAGAATCTATGGGAGTGTAGAGGAGGGATCTCTAACTTAGACTTGGGAGGCCAAGAGAAACTCCATAGAGAATGACATCAAGAACCTAATCTGGAAAAGCAAGCTGAGTTAGGAAAAAGGAAGGGGAAGGGAAATGGTAGGTAGAAATGAAAGACAGAGCAAGGATTTTTCAAATAGAAAGAATGTTTCAATAGAATTCTATACATTTGCACATTCAAAGGTATAGAGAAGTGAGAAAACATCTTACAATTCTGAGCAAAATCTTAATTACACCAAATAAATCAAATTTAATTTTAAAACTTTATAGAAATTTATGGTATACCAGATACACTGATATGCATCTAGCAATGATCTTTTGAAGCAGGTATCAGTGAGGCAACTTAGGTGAAGTTACATAGAATCCAACAGCTAGTAAGAGGTAGAGCTGAAATAGACTCAAGCAGTTTGACTCCAGAGTTCATTATCTCATTCCTGCTGTTAGATTGCCTCTCTGACTACATTAAAAAATAAATAAAAGGAGGAAGACCCAAAGAGATATAGATTAAAATATATATATTGCTATTTTCCTGTGTTTTTCTACTATTTCTGGAAATTGTCTAGTTCACATAATTAAAAACTCAAGCCAGACAAAAGAGAATAATCAGCTATATTAACAGTAAGCCAAAGACTTCTATTCTTCAGAAATTTACTTAAAGGCAAATCAGATATAAACCTAGGAAGTCCAGAAAAGTTAATAGGACTTAAGCCCACACCAAGAAAATAAGATATATGTATGATTACCTTTTTTTTGTAGTTAACCACTGACACTATGTAGGATCCTATAGAAAAAGAAAGGCATTCCTGTTTTTAATTTTTTGTTTCATGTAGTAAAAAATTTACTACCACAAAAGTAAAATCAACCACAATTAACAAGCAGTGAATGGAAGTTGAATATTTCAAGAAACAAAAGCACAATACTTTAGATTGGTTAAGTGGATTAAGAGCACCATTAGAGGACTGACATGAGAAATGTGATATTTTGAGGAAAAAATAATAAAATATGAAAAATACAATGAAAAATCATAAAACATAAAAAACATATATTAAACAAAAAAAATTAAACAAAAAAAACCATATATTAAATTACAATTTTTTTAAAAAAACAACAGCACCAAATAGGCATGTTTGGAAAAGTGTTAGAAGTATGTACACTTAAATGTGAATACTGGTAACATTTGTGTGATAGGTTATAGATGACTTTTAAAATTTTTAGTTTAGATCTTATCTACCTTTTAACATATGAATACGTTATTTTATACGTAGGAAGAAATTATAAAACATATCAAAGTCCTTTAGTCCTAAAAGTACATATGAAAGCTTTGCTAGCCTTAGTCAACATTATAATTATGCCCTCAATATTCATTCTCCTTTTCCCATTATTATCCTAATTCTCCTTTAAGTGCCACCCTCCCCCACTGCATGCATCTCTTTTGGGGGATGCTCTCCTGAGTTAGGGATGTGGCATGTACTGTAGTTCTAAGCCCAACAATGTGATCCTTCCCCCTGGTCAAGGTCACTGGCTTAAGGAGGGGCAAGTGACCCAAGTTAAACTAATGAGGCATGACAAGTAATTTGCTGGAGGAAGCTAGGAATAAATAATCCTTGCTCATGTGAGAAAAACCCAAAACAATCGTTTCTCTTGTTCCTATGTGGATGAGGAAGCACATAGCCCAGGCAGCCATTGGCAGCCATGTTTCAGCCGTGAGGAGACACCTGCCTTAGAATGAATAGAAATCCTGGAAGGCAGAGAGAGTTGGAAATAAGCTAGTTCTTTCATGGGTTAGTGGAATTGCTGATCAAACCCAACTGCAAGTGAGTGCCACCTGTGGGCTATCAACCCATAGGAAACCATACATCTTCTTTATTATTTACTCCAGTTTGAATTTTGTGTGTGCATGTTTGTTTTTCTGTTAATTGTAACCAAACACATCCTACTTCTTTCTTTCTATGCTATTTTCATCCTGGAAGGTTACTATCAGGTAATTAAAGATCTTTCTTCTAGCTTACTAAAAATTATTCAAAATCACAGGTTTTATTTTCCTTGACCTGGCTGGTGTATTCTAGAACTGTGCTGTCCAATACAGTAGCTATCAACCAGATGTGGCTATTTAAATTTAAAATAGTTTCTTGGTTGCACTTCTGACGTTTCAAATGCTTAATAGCTACATGTCAATAGTGGCTACCATATTAGCCAGCAGAAATAGAGAACATCTTCCACACTGCCGAAAGTTCTCTTGAATAGTGCTCTCTCTCTCTCTCATTCTCTCTATCCCCCCCCCCCCCCTCTCTCTGTGTGTGTGTGTGTGTATGTGTGTGTCTACGTTGGAGGGAGGGGAAGCATACAAAAGAGTAACATTAGATTGGGAAAGTTGTATTCTAACATCATCTATGCTAGTTAATTTACCACGTTCCCTTGAGTAAGCCTCTTCCCCTTTCTTAGGTCTTCATCTTTCTTCTAAAAGTAAGAGGCTAGACTAGGAGATTTTGGGGGTCTCTTCTAGGTCCAATATACTGAAATTTTAAGTGCTTTCTTTTGACTTTTAACATCTGTAGACTTTTTTTATTCTCCAGGGATCAGCTGTGAGCTCTACCATCAGATCATATTGGATATCAAATACTGAGAACCAGGGTAGAAAATTCAGGACAGTTTCCTTTTTTTTTCTTCTAGCAAAAAAATTCCAACACAAATTTAGTGGCAAGTAGGCATTGTTTAAACGGTGTACAGGCCAGTTTCCTTTACTTAGTGTCATTGCAATAGGCTAACACAGGACAAGGTGGTCACCCTTATTTCTTTCCTTTCTTTTTTTTTTTTTTGAGATCGAGTTTCTCATCACTCAGGCTGGAGTGCAATGGTGATCTCGGCTCACTGCAACCTCTGCCTCTGGGGTTCAAGCAATTCTCCTGTTTCAGCCTCCTGAGTAGTTGGAATTACAGGCACCTGCCACCATACCCAGATAATTTTCATATTTTTAGTAGAGACAGGGTTTCACCATGTTTTCCAGGCTTGTCTTGAACTCCTGACCTCAGGCCATCTGCCCGCCTCGGCCTCCCAAAGTGCTGGGATTCTAGGCGTGAGCCACCGTGCCTGGTCAAAGCTACTTATTTCTGTAAAGGCAGCTCATTATGCATGCCATCCTGATGGTGAATTAGTATTTTATTTTTGATTCATTTATTATTATTCATTTAGTCATTCAAGCATTTTATTGTCTACTATATGCCAGGCAGTATGTTAGACTCTGAAGATGCAGCAGTGACCAATATGCTTGTCCTCCTTGCCCTCATGGTGATTGTTATAAGGAGATAAAGCAGGCATTAAACAAATAATTCCAGAAATAGCTATTAACACTTGTATTTAAGATTCTAGAGGTGCTGTAACAAGGGATATAAGGGGACATAGCACAATGACCTGATCTTGTCTGGAGTACTAGAGAAGGCTTTGGGAAGAAAGTTTCTCCATCCTATTCAAGGATCCAAGATAAGAGCCTAGTAGAAGCCAAGAATTAGAACATTTGTAAGAGATGAGGCTAGAGAAGTAGGTGGGTCAGTTCATGCAGAGCCTTGTCAACCATGGACATAAGATTTGGACTTTATTTTAAATGCAGTGGGAAACTATTGAAAGGCTTTTAAGTAACAGGAGTGACATAATGATCATGTGTCTTAAATATGCTCCCTCAAGATGCAGAGTCGGGGAGACACAGGTGGGAGGTACATACTCCAAGACAAGTATACTTGCTATAGTTCAGGTAAAAGATGATGGTAGCCTGGATGAGGGTAGTTGAATGGAGAGGGAGAAAGTGGATGGATTTGAGGCATAAACAGGAAGTAGAATTAATAGGTGGTAGTGACTGATTGGATGCAGAAGTTTATGGGGAGGGACATGGCCAGAAGAGTCTTCATTTCTGGCTCAAACTATTGCGTTGTTGAATGGCCATTGGAATTGAGTAGCTTTGGGGGATCTGATATTAAATCAGCTATGGATTTGAAAGTTTTGTAAACCAAAAAAACATATTATTGTTTTTATTATTGCCAAAGCAAACATTTTCATGACCTTTATATGCTTCTGATATATGTTCATATCCTTGCAAAAAAAAGAGACTACTTTGTTGCTATAAAAATATACATGTATTGCTTTGGTTAGAGAAAAGGAGGTGAAGCTGGTGGGATTTCAACTTTCTCTCAGTCCTAAAAGGAGAATAAAGAATAAAGAAATGAGAAGCGTAAGAACAAAAGAAATGACCTTATTCTTTCTTTTTCTTCTGCCTGGAAGACAGACAAGATAAGCAATGAGGAATTATAGTTGATAAAGTAATTGTAGAGATAGGCTGCTGGAGGTGAAAAATGAGACTCCTACATGAAGGTTATCTTTTTTTCCAGCCTAAGAAAAATCTTGTCTCCCATTTTCTTTTTCTTACAGTTACTGAAAATTCTGCCTTACGGATCCAGATTCAAATTATAGTATAGAATATTGCCAGTTTGATAGAAAATGATTTAGCCTCTCTTTCCAACTGTGTGCATTCCTTGTTGCTACTAAGGATTTTTATTCTTTCTTAAGCAGTAGTTGGGTTTTATTTTGTTGTTGTTGTTTTTTTTTTTTTGGTTGCTGCTTTTGTTTGTTTGGTGTTTACCTTGTGAATGCTTTGTACTTTTAAGACATAGTTGTGATTACTGATGTGTATAATGCTCTCCTCATGGCCTAGTGCAGTGCATGGAACATAAAAATTCAATTAATAAGTGAATTACAAGATAAAGTTTTCATCAGTCAGTATAGACTAGATGATGCTGCAATAACAAATAACTCCTAAGTTGCAATTGCTTAAAAAAAACTATTTCTTATTCACTAGGTAGATCCATTAAAGATTGGTAGGGGAAGAGGAGGCCTCTGCTCAAGGACTCAGGCTGATAGTGCAACTTGTCCCTGCTTCAAAGGCAAGAAGAGATCTGAGGGTGTCACTTCAGCAATTAAATGCTCTATTGCTTGAGGAAATGACATCAGTTCTAATGACACCTCACTGGCTGAACCTTATGGCATACCCAACCCTAAAGGGATCAGGAAGTGCAATCCTACTATGGTCAGAAGGTGGAAAGGCTCAACTTCTCTGAAAAATGTGAGAGTAGTTTTGCTTTGAGTTGGGAGAATACACTAAATGGCCTCAAAGATCAATATATGTTGATTCTTACATTATTAGGACAAATGATCATTGGCTGCAATGCAATGGACTGCAAGGTATTTGGAAGAAAAAAATAGAACTATGCTAATATTCTTGCTTCATTACATGCATTTAGAATGATAGTTAAGGCGAGTCTTTATTCCAGTATTTTTTTCTTAATTGTCAGCAATGCCTATCTGAATGCCTTGAATGTAATCCATTAGGTGGTCGATTAAATTGAATTATGGAAGTAACTATCTTGACCCTTATTTTAATCTCTAGAAATGAAAAACATAATGGTTACAGGTTTTCAAAATAGTAGCCTTTATTAGCAAAGGTGAACTTCCTTTTAATTTTAATTCATTAGCATAGCAAAACCACAACCAACAACAATCACGGGGCAAAAGCCATCTTGTATACTTCTATATTTCAAATGCCTGGTGTAATATGTACCTCTAGAAAGAATGAATAATCATTTTTTGAGACTATCTTAATGTTAAAGAAATAAGAAAATATAATAGTTATTTTTTTGGATTTTTTTTCCATTAAATATTTTATCCCAGTGTTTAAGAATGTACTCTTGAGCCAAATCATTTGGGCTTGAAATCTGCTCTGTCTTTTACTACCACACAACCTTGTGCACGTTCTTTAATCTTCCTGTCTCCTCTCACATTCCCCATCTGTGAAACAGAGATAATAATAATACTTATCTTGTGGGGTTGGTAAAAAGAATTAAATTAGACTTTACAAGACATACTATAGAATGTGCTAGCATCTGGTGAAGGTTTGATAAACATTACCTGCTGCCACTGCTGTTATTATTTTTTTATCTTGATGCTGTACAGTCAGTGTAAACTTTCTGTACACACTCATGAACAATAATAATGAGGCACAGATGTGAAACATGCAACACCAACTAGAACTTTGACATTTTTAACTGTGAGATTAATATTTACTATTACTTAGAAATCTGTTTAGAGGTAAGATTTAGAGAACAGTTGTTATGTTACAAAGAGCTATTATGTGTGTTTTGTGCAATGTGAAAGACCAATTGGCAAGACTGACGAGTCTGAAGGATCCCTAACTCTCTCACTGTGTGTAACATGAGAAAACAGAATCACTTGCAAAGATGTGCAGCAGCATTGGACCTTCTTTATTGTGCCTCTGAAAGGCAAGAGAGTATTCTGGGGAATTTCAAAATGTTTCCAAGGAAGCAATATTATGAGAACTACCTTGATTTTGAAAACACCATAAAAGATTAGACAGTATCATCTATAACAGTGGGGATCTCATCAATCACGTTTTCTGCTTTGTTCCCAGGCACCTAACACATAGTAGGTGCTTTATAAGTGATTTGTGAAATAACTGAGGGTATTTCAGAGAATTATTACCAGCACAATCTATAAATGAAAACTAGGTCATCTTGTATTCATCATTGAAATTTAGGCAAAATTATACTATATTTCTGAAGAAGAAAGGGTTCAAACCGTAGTAAGAGGAAGAAGATGTTGAACTTCTGAGTGTTTTCCCTCCCCACCCCAGCATGTTATTTGAAGGAGAGGAAAAATTTTTTAAAAAAGAGCTGTGAGCATATTTCTTCATTTGATGCTGAAAATAACATATTTTTATTTATTAAACATGTTCAAAAAGTTCAGAAGGTTTTTATTGGACTTATGCATATACGCATCTATGTCCTATTCCAGGTAAATTCTAGTCTATTTAACTGCTGAAACAACCAGCAGACTTAAATTAGTATAAACCTGACAATATTTGTGGTTAATTTACTGGTAAAAAGAACATTAAGAGGTAAGAAATGGCTTATATTTCACTTTCCCATTTACTGTTAGAAGTCTAACTCCCACTAATACTATCAGTATTTTGCAGAATGCTTTTTTCTTGTTTCTCCTTCCCTCTTTACTCTTTTGTTAAATCAGTGGTATCAGTAGGACTTCTAATGTAATAAATCAGGCAATATAATGTTAAAGCGCTGCTTGAGTTGTTGAAGAGTTAGTAGGCAGATATTACAATTCACTGTAGCTGTAATAGAGGGTAATGTCACTTTAAGACATGTGATACTTTAGAGCGGAGGGATGTATTGAAACAGACTACTGCTACTTACAGCACCGTATAGCAGCCCTGCTCCTACATTTTGCTGCCTTACTCTGCCCCGAATGCACTGGAGTGGGGATGGTCCATCGGCAACTATAAACTGATTCTCATCAGGAAACTGCACATTATCTCCCCATCACTTCAAAGGTCTCGTCAGGCAGAGGTGACGCCAGGAGATGATTTAAAGGTGAAAATGACAAGGTTTCCACCCCTCAAACCTTGGCTCCTTTTCTGACAATACAGTCTGAATGAACCCGATGTCTTTTTTTTTACTGTGGAAATAGGATCGGAAGAGAGTAACATTTTTTTTTTTTTAATCCTGATAAAGAAGATTGTTGGGAAGCTCTTTGAAAAAAAATTTTAAATTGTGGCACAGATGGATTTTAAAAAGTGTTAGATCTTTCCAATGAACACTAATAGAGTACTCTGCTCTTGGCTGGATTTTTCAGGTAAGAAGCATCTTTAAGGGTTTAAGATTCAGAAAGCAGATCTGAAACATATCCAGGCATATCTAGAGAACTGTGCAAGGCTGAATGCTTTATTTGGGGAAGACGCTTAATAACATTGAGACAACCCCTTGGTAAAGGAGCAAGCAGTGAGAGTGACATGCAGGAGGCTTGGAAGTAATGCTGAGAATTTAAAAAAGTTAAATTAAAAAAATATATATTGCAAGCATAAAATCACAGTAATCCTTTTGAGTGGTAGGATCTATATGGGTGAAGAAATGAGCAAGAGAAAGCAGTCATTGAAAAACTATTAAGTTTTGGTTGTGGCAGGATTTTTTTTTCAAGTTTGGATGAATTTCCAGTACATTTTAACTGCAATTCACAAGCAGTAAATACATCCACAGTCACCTCTGTTTTGTCTTTCTGTAATTTGCAGGGTATTCTGAAAAAGTCCCCAAATACATTCATTTTAGGTTTCACAGGAGGGGTGTTGCTGTTTATTTCCACTGAAGAGAATGCATGTATGTTATCCCAATAGTTCTGAAAACAATAAGGCAAAGTATGTTGTATACAAAAGTAAACAGTGGGCAGTGAAACTAATTAGAAAGTGAATGCTCCATCTGAATCACAGACTTAGGCATGAATAGCACCAAGCTGTTGAAAATAATGTTTTCCTGCTTTGCACTTAATTATAGTTGTCACCATTTGTCTATTATAGTCCTAAAATCCTTCCAAGACTGCATCTCTCTGCTAAAATCCACAAATTAGCGTGCATTATGTGCATACATATGATGTATATTTTTGTTTTCTGAACATCAGTTTTTAATAAAGAACCAATTTTCATGAATAAAGAAGCCAGGCTGGGAGGTTACTAGCACGTTTTCAACGTATAGTTGAGATTTTTGAAGGGTATGATTTGACAGTGAAAAGGAAAAGAAAGAAAGAAATCTTCCAAAGCCCTCTCTGCCTAACAGAAAAGCATACAGTTAACTGGATTCTTGTGTAGAAAATGCTTCCCTATCACTGGCTGAGTAAGGACGGTGCTTCAAGTTTGATTAATTTGGCAATATGAAATGCAGCATAAGGTGTTGTTTGAGAAATTGGACAATATATAGCGCAGTTGAGCCTTTGTAGTTCCTAAGATCCTCATAGGTGCAGATAAGACTGTCAAAGTTTCAGCACCCGAGAAAAGGTACATATTCATCCATAAATACATATGCCACCTGTATATGCATATTCATCAATGCTATACAACAAAAGCTACAATGGAATCTTAGGAGGCTAAGCAATATTGCAAATTATGGCTTGCTCTAGGATAGAAGCATAGGTGTTGCATCTGAAACTCATTCTGGCTAAACACAATCCCTTCTGATTCTTAGGTCCAGTCAAAAGGATCAGTTCTATCAGGAGATTACAACATGCCTCTGAGAAATGATTACTTAGTTTAGAAGACAGCATTGCAATTAAAAATTCATGACTGTAGAATTAAAAAAAAAAAAAGAACCCACTCTTTCCTTCCAGGCTTATGTCAGACTTGCAATGAAGTTAGAATGAACAGGAGGAGTCTGCAGCTTTTCAGTGCCTGGGATAACTATAGTTTAAAGATCATTGTGTAAAATAGGATTTTTAGTCAGCATGCATTGTTTTAAACCGACTAACTGATAGCCTAAAACTTTATTTTTGCATTTTGCCAATCCTTGGAGTTTTGTTTTGCAGAATTAAGAAAAAAATGAATGTATGATCATCTGAAAAGGGCTTTCTCTCAATCCCACTTCATGGCATGACCTCTGCTGGATCATTAGTTCTAGCCAGAGAAGTAGCAAAGGAACATGACGTCTGAGACCTCCCTTCCCTCATCAGTGGGGCTGACTGAGCTGGGGGCTTGAAGCCGGAGGTAACCTTTCCTGTCGAATGTTCTCTTTAGAGAATGGCAATGGTCTCTGCGATGTCCTGGGTCCTGTATTTGTGGATAAGTGCTTGTGCAATGCTACTCTGCCATGGATCCCTTCAGCACACTTTCCAGCAGCATCACCTGCACAGACCAGGTAAGTCAGGAGCTGGCTCCACTGCAGCCTCCTCCAGTCTTACCACTATTTCCTTAACAGATGGTTGAATGCAAGTGACATAAAGTGCTATAGTGTGGGCAGCTTGCCTTTGAATTCCAAGACATATTGTTGGCTGGATGCTTTGGGGGAAGGGGAGTGTGCCAAAATGTCTTGGAGGTATTTCTATTAATTTCTCAGAAAAGGTGTGTTTTTCTAAGTGTCACCCCACCTGCTTCTACACACCTTGAAAAGTAGAAGTCATCTGTTTTTGGATGCTTTGGCCAATAGCAGAATATTCTGCAAAAGTTGGAATAACTTTCAATACTTGAGGATTTTACCTACTATAATCTTGGTCTGTATGTGGCTAAGAATTTTGTGGGGGCATAGTCCCCAAACTAACTTTGGAAGCAAGTTGTCAATGAAAAAGAAATTAAAAAGTAACTTACTATTTCTTGCCTGGTTTAATGTGCCTTCTTTCCTTTCTCCCTTCCTTCACTTTCTGTTCTTCCGGTATGCTCAGTGGCATTTTTCCCTCTCTTTTGGCAGTTTCAGGGACGAAGTCCCTCCCACCTGATTTTTGTTTTGTTTTGTTTTGTTTTTCCTATATTGAATTTTTAGTTCCGGACGCATTTTGCTTTCTTCCTCTTAATGTTCAAAGTATATTTCTCACCCTTCCACGGCCTCGCTCTTCATTCTGGATTTTGCTCTCCTTCTTTGCCTCTCCAGCTTTCTCATTACAGTCCCTCCCAGCTCGATTGTCCTTACCTTCCCCGGTTCTTGGAAAAATTTCCTTCCATTTTCTGTTCAGTATCAGCCTTCGCATCCTTCTACTACTCACCCCGCCTTCACCCTCCACCCCACCTCCCTCCCTCCCCTCCCTTCCTCTCTCGCGACGGTCAAGTTCGGGCTCTGGGGACCAGTTGCGCGCCCAAGTTTCTGATGCTCAGTTCTGAAGTGCTCCCAGCCCTCCACCCGCCTCTCCAAATCCCATCAATGGCCTCCTCCCCCCATCCGTCGAGCTTCCTCCTGCTGCGTAGTCCAGCGTCTACGCCCTCGCCTTTCCCTGGCTCCTCAGTCGGCCTGGACACCGATACTAGGCTCTTCTGTACAGCCCTCCAGCAATACCTTCCGGGGCCCCGCTTGCTGCCTCCTGGGGCTCAGCTTCCCTGCTGGGGGCAGGCATGTCAGAGCGCGGATGCAGCCCAGGGTCCTCCCGCGCGCCTGCACCAGGCTGCAGCGAGCGCGCAAGCCTGCTGGGTGCTGGAGCTCGGGCCGCCCCGGGAGAAGGGGTGGGGCTGGCTTGTGCTAGGGGCTGAGGCTGGGGGCTGTTTCTGGGCCCTGCCACCCTGTTTCCCCCAGCCCTGGTCTGACAGGGAAGGCGAGGGGGCGCTGGTGCCCCTGCAGGTGGGCAGGGAAACCGCCCTCTTCAGGACGCGCTTGTATTTCTGCATCCTGTGTCCTGAGCCTGGCGCGGGAACCGCCACTCAAACCCTCAGTGCAGCCGAGATGGAGGGAAAACAAAAGTGAATTTGAGATTCCCACTTTACCTCCAATCACTTAATCACAATTTGTTCTGGCACAAATGTCTTTCACTTGTTACATGGTCATAAATAATAAACAGTGCGGGACATCTGCATTCGTTGTGATGATCAAGAATAAGAATTCATAATAAAAACAACTACTACGTGTATGTTTTAGGCAGGGCTCTGAGGATTAGTTCACACTGTTCAGTTTAATCCTTATGCAAGTGGGTGTAATTTCTCCCCTTTCGCCCAGGAAACAGAAGCTCTGAAAGGTTAGGTGGCTTGTCTGAGGCCACACAGGGAATAGCTGCCATTGGAGGTCAAATCAGCACGATTCACCGCCAGAGCCTGTGTCCTCAGGAGGCGAAAATGCCTCTCGGTGCACCGAGTGACCATGCCAAATAGCTTCTTTGAGGAAGTGTGAGCCCCTTCATATAATTTTTGAAAACTTTCATTATGTCAATACTTGGTCCAATCTCAACTGCACACCCATTCTGAGAGGTGGCCATGGCAGAACTAGTGAGTGGCACGTGGTTGAGGGGGAAAGGCAGGGCTCGGGGCTGGCCACCTGAGTCTCTGTCACTTAAGGTTAGTGACATAACCTTGGGCAACTGACTTTTCTGCTCTCATTCCCCATTTATAGATATGGTGGTTGGGGGCGGGGAGAGGTGGGGTGTAAATATAATAAAAATAACTTCGAATAAGTCTTTTGTAAGCTGTAAAGTTCTTCACAAATATTGGGAATTACTGATGTCCCCCCTTAATAGACTGTAAACCCACAAGCCAGGGATGTTTGATGAATAAAGTTTTGCTGTTCACACAGCTAATAATCCACATAGCCAAGGCAACAACTCTTTTTTTTCTCTTGCTATTGTTTTGTTAACCATGTGGTACATGGCTAGAATATACTACCAATGCTATGTGTCTTATTTTACTCTGTGCGTATAATCATGAAATAGATACAGTACCGTTTGTAACAAGCTTTCACATAGTTGTCTCTCTTAATCAGTGAATATATGGAGTTTTTCATTGGGGGTTATGTATAATAAGTAAACTTATGTCTTTATAGGGCTTATTGTTAAAATACCGTAGTTTAAAACTGAGAATCACATATTAGGTTCTGGCTGAAATTAAACTCAATATTTGTTTTCTCCATTTTCTTCCTTAGAATTTGTGTATTATCAACCAATGCGTGGTTGATCTGTGCGTCAAATACCCCAAGAAACTGCAGCACTGAAACCAATTTTGACCCCAAGTGCTAATACATCTGAGACCCATTTCAGCTTTATTGTTGAAATGAAGAAACTATAAATATCCCTTCCTAGATGCAGAATGATTAAAATGATATTAAACTTAACATCCAATAGTTCTATATAATACGTTTATTCAACTTTCTTTGGTTTTTGACAATAGCTGCAAAGATTAAAGTGATAGATCTTGGTCATAGCCATATTCTAGATTATTCCAGTCAGACTCTTTAATACAATCTTTTGATTTTAAGAATAAAAATATGCTTTTATTTTGGATGAGAGTTGTGACGTTTTCCCTTGTAGGTCTTAAATCTCCAGGGACACTAATGAAATGTGTATGAAAACAAGATAGAAATCAGGGCCAGTTATCTGTGACAATCCACCCCTAAATGAACAAATAAATAAATAAATTGCTGGATAAATGAGCAAAAAGGAAAAACATAATCTCATTTTCTCAAATCGGTTAAAACAAGTGACATGATGAGAAAAAAATGAGACACCCGCAGACCCTGAGCTCTGCCACATTTGCCTAAGCTTGAAAAATCACCTCTTTCATAAAGCAAGAGCAGGCAGACTCCGCGTGCATACCAAGTATCTGGGAAATGTGGAAAATGACAAATCTTTCACTCAGAGCCTTGAATGGAAGGAGAGTGAAAGCTTTACAGCTGCTTCCTCACCTGCTTAGGAATGGCTCCCCCCAATCCCCTCCCTCTGTTCCCCAGCCTCTTACGGGCACTTTGGCTGTTCCTTGCATGGTAATATTGATGGTATTCAGACAGCAAACAGCCAATTTCAGTCTCTCAAGAAATAATCCACTACATTGACAGGTGAGTGGAATTTGACGTGATGTTCCCCTCGTTCAGATTGCCTCACCTGGATGGCACCAGCCAGCCAGGGTCCTTTAGGGGAAATGGTTAGAGACTTGGGCCAATTTCTGCTGTCATAACATGAAATCGAGACCACGTTTTTGTGAGGCCGTGAATTTGTGATCTGTCTTCTCAATGCAGTGGGTTTGTACACAAACAGAATGAGAATATGTTAACTAGAAAACTGACTCATTTTAATGTATTCGCCTGCAGTCTCTAACTACTTCCTATTTTTCATATTTATAGTATTAGGAATGCACCATTTATTTTCAGTTACTCACTAGTTAAGGAAGATTAAAACAGTCAATCAAATGAAAGTGAATTTTAAAATTACACTAATGAGTAAAATGTGCTGTAGATTAACAGATTTGTAATTTCAATAATTTAATATTTGGCTGGATCAAGTTTTTATTTGGGGAATGATGTAGGAAATTACCCTAAAAACTTGAAGAATACTTGAGCTTCTTTTTTATTTTTCATTATAAAGCTATAGACAGGACATTTAGTTGTAAAAAGACACACTAAAAAATGAAAACTCAAAAGTGGTGTTCAATTGTTTCAGGTAATTATAAAATAGACACCTCAACTCTTTATAATCACCAGGTTTTTTTGTGTAACAGGTAAAAAAAGATTGAACGGTTTTTGCTAATCATAATTTTCTGTTTTAGGATGAGTTTTTCCCCTTATGGATATATGAATTAGGACAGCAATTTTGATAGTTACTTAATTTTGAATGTGTGTGTGTGGGGGGTGGTGGGGGGGTGGGTGTCCTTGAAACTTAGTAAAATATAAATCATCTCAAAATTATTTAGCAAGAGAAGATCCTTGGGATTCTTCAGTAATTTTAAATTATATAGATAAATTACATGAGACAAGAAGTTTTAAGTGCCTAATGAATCATTTATTCCTGAGTCACTGCTATTTTATCGACAGGGGTGTACGGAAATGATATATAAAAAGATTACTCTGAATAGAGTTGTCTGTGTAATTTATACTTGACCTGATTTAAAGCTATATTAAGCAAACTATGTGTGTTAGATATATTCATTTTTGCCTTGATTATTACATACTGAACATCACCTTCCATTTTAAAGTAGGATATTTTTGTTAAAATATTAAAAAGCATTTTTGTATGCCTTATACTTATTTTTACCTTACTATTCAATATTACTTTATTGAAAGCTGCTCAGAGAATATGCAGTAGAATACCAGAGTACATTACAATAAAGGGTTGTTTTATAACTGTAATATAAAAGAAATAGTGGGTACAACTATGGTCGCATATTGGCTCTTTAAGAATGCGTACCAGTGCTAGGCTGCTAAATATAGCGAATTGGCCTAAGGATTGGAGCAGACAGGTTGTTATTCGGTGCAAGCTGGTGCTTAGTGATAATCCATCGATCATCTGATTGATCCTATTGACCTCATCGCAGAGTCAGGGTGCAGCTATTGATATTTGATCAGACCCTATAATATCAAAGCCAAATACAGATGCAAATAAATATTTCCTGCTGATCTTATGAACTTATAAGAAAATTATTACAATGCTATAAAAACTCTTACTTACGTAAGCTCAAACCTATGGTTTCAACTCCTAGTTAGGGAAAATAGATGTTATACCACACTGCAAACAAAAATATTTAGAAATGGCAAAAATGAAGTTTAGCCTTTAATTGTTAATTTCTTAAAGTTTACTTAAGAAGACAATTTGAACTCTTTTAAACATTCTTTCAATTTTAAACTTTCTGCGAAAGTATCAAAGCTTAACTGGATAAATCGGCATGCCATTTTTGATAACAATTTAGTAACATCTCCCAAGATGTAAAATGTGCAAATCCTGACACTTCCATTTCCAGGTGCTTATACTAAGAAAATTATTAGACAAATGTGAAAAGATGTATGTTAAGCTATAGTTATTGCAACAATGGTTTTAATGGCAAAAAATTGAAGAGGAGTTTCATCTCCGTCAAAAGGGGATTGGTAAAATAAATCATAGCACATCCACACAATGGGATTTGATGTAGACATTAAAAGGGATGAGAATATGTCTATCTACCCACGAGGAAAAATGCCCATGTTACATTGCTGAGTGGAGAAAACAAGGAACAGAATACTCTGCTTCAAAATAATTTTGGAGAAAAGAATCATATTTGCACATACATAAAAATGTCAAAAAGGATATAAACATCCTTTCTACAGTGGTAGTTAAATCTGGTGAGAGGACTAGAATGACTTGAACTTTTAACTTCCTATAATTTTTATTTTTTGGATTCATTTTTGGAATGAACATATATTGCTTTTTATCAAAAAGCTTAAAATATTAGTGAGAGAGTTTCAATGGTAAAATTAGAAAGATACCAAACCACGTTTCCAGTTTAAGAAAAAAGAAGGGAGAATAAGTAGGAAAATATCATGAGGCCCTTTTCCTTTTAAGGGTCTTAATCCAGTAAAATGTCTAGGCCAGCATTTCAGAATTATACTTCATGAAACACTGTCTTCTGAAGATACTCCTTGGACAAAAGTGTCCACTGTTTGTTATGTTCTCCTCCTGGAGATTTGCAGTGCTTGTAAGTATATGAAAGTTCTGGAAAGATTTGCGTGTAAGAAATCTGATTTTGTTTAACTAAAATTTTCCAGACACTTTTTTTTTCGACAGCATCTACCATACCTATTCAGATTACATGCATTGAGAAGCATGGGCCAAGATAATTCTGGAATCCTCTGTTCATCCTTTTATCTCTCACTTCTACTGAGTTGACACATACTAGGTTCTCAGAAAATACTTGTTTAATTACTAAGGAAACGAGGAATGAAGATTTTGGTGGAATCTTAAACTGTTCCTTAGTTGTTACTACTTGTGTGTGAGTGTGTGTGTACATATGGATGTATGTGCATTTTTGTGTGTGTGTTTATAATTTCGAGATTTCTCAAATGGAGAGTGTCATAAACATTATTTTGTCAGTATAACATACATGTATTATGTGTGTATCTTTATGTAGATATTTGACTCTATTCAATTTTGACAGCTACTCCATTCAAAATAATTCAAAGACTATACTTACAAATGTAGTGAAAAATTAAATCCCTAAGGTTTTCAGTCACAGGTTTGGGGATTTTTCTCCTCTATAAGTTTAGAAAAGACTATAGGAGTTGTCTTGAGGGACTGAAGAGGCTTCACTTGGCAAATAGGGAAAGGACTTTTACTTTCCAAATCTTTTGATATCAAGAGAAAAAGTCACTTTGCCTTTGTAGCAGAGAGAAAATAACACCAGACAAGCACTTTTTCCTTTCTTTGGGAATAAAGAGAAGATGAATTTTGTTTAAAATTTGTATAACCTAATTGAATTCCCCAAAGATAATACCCTCAAAGCACTTAGGGAACTCTGTTGGCCCATTATTTCTTTCTCTTTTCCCAACTTCATATAATAAAGGTCCAAAAAAGAAAAGAAAAATGATATTATCACAGGGTTTCTCCAAGAAAATGGATAGGAATGCTGAGGGATCTGCCTATTCATTAAGCAGATCTTTCTTTAACGCAGGGAAGGAGTCAAACCAAGTTGTTCTCTGAGTCTGCAAGGGAGGAAGACCTCTCACATCCTTAGGTGTGGCATTGTTCTACTGATGTAATTACTGGCATTTACCTTTACTATGCAGTTACTAGACCTTCTTTTCTAGGTGTGCTTTCATATCACACAAGAATAAATCCAAGCTGAATCTGTGTACATTCAGAGGACTTTTCTTATTTTCCACTTTTGTGGATGAAGAATGGACCAATTGATTCACATACTTTCAAGTGAATACAGAATGTCAGCTCCTAGATTTAGATAAGCTAATACACAGGCAGGGGGTAAAGCACCTCAGTGTTCCTGAAATTAACAGTATACTGCATTAGGATCAGCAGGCCAGCAGGTCTTACTTCTCATTGAATTAATATTGGGTATGTATTCAATAATTATTTATTGATCATCCTAGCTTTAGCCGAGTGAGAACTTTACATTCTTTAAAATTCAAAAAGTGGTAGAAAAACATCACATTAAGCCTTTTTAAAAAATATCAAATGGTAATGAGGAAAGAGCACCAGAGTAGGAGTCAGAGGCTGGAGCTTTCAAGATCTCCTTTAAGTTGTCAAATTGCAAAGCTCCAGATGAGAGCGTGGGAAGGAATTCAACAATTTTCATGTTGTACCTGGTAGCTCCAAGAGGGAGATCCATGTGTTCCATAAACAGTGAAGTATATTCTGCCAAATAAGTTTTAAACTACCCAAGGAACTGGTTTATTAACTTTATCTATTTGACATAGCAGGATTCAAAATTACCTTTTCTTATGTAAAAAAGCATTCTGCTAAAACTATTTGAAAACTTTGTGGATGATTTCATAGGTAGGCAAAGCAAACACCATCATGGACCAGGCAGGTGACAAAATGATTGTTCAGATATTAGGAAATGCTGAATATTGCAAGGCAAGCCAGAAATCTAAAAATTGATGTGTAATTTTCTTACCTTGGAAATGTCAGGTGGGCCAAATAAATCAAGACTGATGGCTCTATCCTACCTGCAGGCTGTCAGTGCATAACCTCAGACAAGACTACCTCCAACTCTAACATTTTATGATTTCTAATGATTTTATCAAATATCTTTATGCAAGCAGAGTAGAGAGAGAAGCGAGGGAAGTGGAATCAAAAGGGGATGTTCTGTGCACATGTGTTTTGACCTACTTTAAAAATATGCCCATGGTGTAGTCCTGTACTGAGTTATACCCAGCAGACTAAAACATTGTGTCTGTAAGCTAAATGGTATTACTGGGGCTCTGGTAAACAGCTTTGATATAATGAAGACAATAGTTGATTCAATAGCCTCATTTGAATCTCAGCTAAAAATCAATTAATTTTCTTTCTTTCTTTTTTCTTTCCTTTTTTTTTTTGAGACGTAGTTTTGCTCTTGTTGCCTAGGCTGGAGTGCAATGGCATGCTCTCGGCTCACTGCAACCTCTGCCTCCCAGGTTCAAGCGATTCTCCTGCCTTAGCCTCCTGAGTAGCTGGGACTACAGGCACATGCCACCATGCCCAGCTAATTTTTATATTTTTAGAAGAGACGAGGGTTTCACCATGTTGGCCAGGCTGGTCTCAAACCTCTGACCTCAGGTGATCCGCCCACTTAGGCCTCCCAACGTGCTGGGATTATAGGCGTGAGCCACCGTGCCCAGCCTAATTTTCTTCTTGATTATGGTTGGGAAAAAACAGTAATCAGCAAATCTAATAAAACAGAAGCATCAAGCAGCATAGAGATGCATATGTAAAACTCTTAATTTAATACTTTATGAAAGTTCTCCAAATCTAGTCTGCAGCCCACTAGTGAGTTATAAATTTATCTTGAAACCCAAGATTCTCTTTTGAGAAAATGATTTATGATATCATATATATTCATTTTGTCTATGAATAAAGGCTACTTATTAGTAAAACAACTGAGTTATCATTTTGCTATAAATTACATGTTAACTAGTGTTTACTGAACTTCCTTAATTCAGTATTCTTTAACTGGCTGTCAGCTCTTGGAAACATTGCAAAGTTTCTGTATGCAAAGAATTAGAATTCATGCAATGTGGAGAAGGATAATTTGTTATCAGTGTGTCATGAGTGTTGTCTTGAGTTATTAGTGATTTTCAATTGCTGTGGTCCTTGTTTTTTAATTATAAATTAGTAGTGGTTTAGTTTCATCATTATCAATTAAGTTTGCTGTGGACGATTGGGTTAACCCTGTAGTCTGTAATGATGGATATTTACATATTTTGGATTTTAAATTTGCTGAAGACTAGACTTTAAGACATTGCTTAATTGTGGTTCAGAAAATATTTTATCTATATTCCTATTGCTAAAACATGTATAGTCATGTGCTGCATAACGATGAATGGCTTATACCACAGTGGTCCCATAAAATTATAATACCATATTTTTACCGTACCTTTTCTAGGTTTAGTTAGGCTTTTTAAACTTTTGCTTTAGGTTCAGAGGTACATATGCAGGTTTGTCATATAGGTAAACTTGTGTCATGGGGGTTTGTTGTATAGATTATTTCATCACTTAGGTACTAGAGTTAGGTTTAAATACACAAATACTTATCGTTGTGCTACAATTTCCTACAACATTCTGTACCCTGATGTGCTATACAGCTTGTAGCTTAGGAGCAATAATCTATATCATATAGCCTAGGTGGGTAGTAGTCTATCTCATCTAGGTCTGTGTAAGTACACTCTGATGTTCACACAATGACAAAATCACCTAATGATGTATTTCTCAGAACATATCCCTGTTGTTAAGCGATACATGACTGTATTTGTAATTATCTTAAAATTTGCTTGTATGGTGATGTATGGTGACATTGTTGGTGACATTCACTGCCTGCAAACCTCTGCAACATATTCTCATGACCCATAATATTTATCTTATTTTTTGGTTCATAGGGCATCATTTTATAATATAAGAGCATGTTAATAGGTCTTTCTTATTGTATGAAAAATAATTTGTGATTCATACAAATTTTCTTCTAAGTATTTATTACTTAAGCACTTTTCCACTGGAAAGTGAAGACAGGAATTAGATATTTCAACTACTGAGTGTGCTGTGGTCAAGGAAAGTTTGAACACCACTGTTCTATAGAGAAATGGTAACTAGAGGTCAGCCCTTTATAAAAATTGCGACTTTAAAAATATGTGGCATAGCAAAAAGTATAAATAAATCAATAAATCCCCTATTGTGAAATAAAATGATAAGATATAAGACATGAGTACATGTTACTTGGAAGCTTCCCGGATGGGGGTCTTATTAAAATGAATTGGTTTTGTAGCTTTTTACATCTCTTTATCTGATGAACATGCAAGATGCCACCTACTGGACAGGTGCTTGAGAATCTAGGTCACTGGGTGAACATTTGTAGGGCAACACTTTTGACAGTTGCTTGCAGGATTGTTTAGAAGTAAGAGCAAATTTATGGCGTGCATGTTGCCAATCTCCAGACTTCTATCTATCACCAGCTTAGGTTAATCAGTCACAGCAGTTGCTCACACAGAGCCTAGATGTGATTTTAGAATCTTTTTCAATCTTTCTCCAGGCACTCCCTGTCAAATGATTGACACTGGCATGCAAGTTGAGAGTCATTGACCATCCCTTATGTGGGTTAATTTGCTAACCATCTTCAGAGTATCTCTTCTATCCAAAAAATGTGTGCCATGAAGTTTTTTTCATTAAAAAAGAAGAAAATGACCTAAGTTTAATTAAATCAAATTGAAATTTAAAGAGCCACATGGGTCCAATAGCTACTGTTTAAGATAGTGCAGCTTTAGACAGTTCTGTCAACTTCTGAGAGTTGAAAAACTTACTTTGTATTACCTCCAGAAAGTTTTGAGTCCTCGCCTGATTCTTCTCTAACTCTGTGTCTAAGATGCAAAGCTGCTTGTGTTATGGGTCATAACTGAATAGGGTACTATGTAATCATAAAGCAGGAAGCAATTCATTCTGAGCAGAGAAGATTTGGGAAGCCCTCATGAAGGAGGTGATTTTGTGTTGGACTTTGAAGGTTGGGTAGGAAGTCAGCTAGAAGAACAGAAGGGTGGTTTATTTAACACAAAGGAACAGAACAAGTAAAGACTTAGAGACAGGTAAGTGTAAAAGGATGGGGTAGCAGACCTTGATGGCTAGAGGCCCTGCACTAGTTAGAGAAACTTTTGTATCATTCCAATTAAAGGGAAAACAAGATTTTATTTCTTAATTACTTAGTTTTACAATCTCAAGGCTGCCTTATCAGTGTACATTGATGATCACAGATGGAGATGGATGGAAAGAGCCCCAGTGTCACAATGAGAGTCTCTATGGAACACAAGTCAGCCAATTGTCAAAGAAGTGGCAACCATATTCTGGCCAGACTCTCTGAGCCCTGTGGGGCCTTTCACACCTTTGAATTATTGTTATCTTTGTGCAATGAAAGGCAAGATGTGTCATAACTGTTGATTTCAAACATCTGGTTATTGTATTAAAGGAAGCTGCATAACTCTAACTCAAACCTAAGATAGTAATTATTTTTAACTTACAACAAACTTAATATTTATATCCAACAAATGGTTTATTGCACCTCCTAGGGGCGGAGGACTACAGTTACCCAGTAGTAATAGAAATGACACTTTACTATAGTCCCTGGTATAACTCTGATTTCCCTACCACATCACAAGCTATGTGAGGGTAAGGAACCCAGCAGTCTGACAAATGCCTGAAACAGTGTGGCACACAGTGAGGGCCAAATAAATACTTGCTAAATGAAGGAACGATCTTAAGCATTTGATATTTCAGTTAAACCTCACAATATCCTCATGAGGTAGAGCATCTTCCCACTTTTCTAGTAACAAAAATGTAAAAGAATATGTTAATGGATTTGTTTAAGGTCACCTAGCTTGGGAGGGCAAGTTGGGAGTTTTGCCAGCTTCTGAATAATGGCTCGGTTTACTGAGTGCTTGCTGTATACAAGCCTTAACATGGGATGTTTCTTATGATATGACATTTGGTCTGAACCAAAACCCTACGTAGATGGTACTGTTATTCCCATTTGTACAAAACATTGCAAAATGTGCTTAATAAGTATAAACATAAAAGGAAAACTTAGGTTGTGTAACAATTCTCAGTCAGGTTTCCATTACAAACAAGTACTACTTTTAGGAATATCAGCAATCTACTCTTGGTCAATTGAAATTAAATAACAAATTTCTATGTTGAGGAGCATTGTTCTACATTAGCCAGGCATCTGTTTCTTGGGCAGTTAGCTTGTTGTATATCATGTAATAGTTTTGAGTACTGCAGCTGAATAATGCTTGATTCTTAATTTCCCTATGCAAACAGGCCTGGCTGAAAGCATGGTTTTTTTCCTTTCTGGATTAACAGTGCCTAATTTTCAAGCATTTTTTACAGAGTTATTGTTTCCCAATAAATTCTTTTAGACTCCATAGACCCTTTTGTGCCCCAGTCAGGGAAGCAGCAGCATAGGATAAATCTACATTTATTAGACTTGCTCTTAGTGTAGATTTTTTGGTTTACTTAAAATGAAGTTATAAATCATTCACACTGGAAAAGAATGCTCTCCAACTGCAATTTAACTTTTTCATAAGATTGTTTGGCATTTATCATGTTGAGACTTTATAAATTATCTAGAATATTGTATAATGGGTTGACCTTTCTGGTAAGTGATTTGATCATTTGCAGCAGTGTCTTTTTGCTAAAATATAGAATATGCTGTCTTTCAAATAAAACTTGCTAGACCCATAGCCTAATAACATGTTAGGTAGAAATTGCCTATATAATCAGACCTGAAATTTCCCTTTCCAATTCTTGTCATCATCAAAAACAAACAACAACAACAACAACAACGAAAACAACACCCCTGTCTTCCAAAGATAGCCCCCCGGCCAGTGATGGCAAATTCCTGACACACAGCCCATTCTTCCTATGATTTTGCTCTAGCAGACATTGCTGATCAATTACTATATGCTTTGTGTTTGAACCCAGATTCAACCTCTGAATCCTTCCAAGCACAGTATAGTTCTCCAGTCATTGAGTAATTAAATGAGACAGGAATAAATTCAGAAACAACCAGAATAACTCCTCTTAGAAGAATCATCATCCAGCACTACTATATGTCACATACTGGGCTAAGTGCCCTACATGGACTTACTTGTTTTGTTTTGAGATGAAACATGTTGTCTGTTCCTGGGATAGGCTGTTCTTTTATGCAATTCAGTTGTCCCATCAAAATGGGCCACGTAGCATCTACTTACATCTTTGGAAATTGGGCAAAGAGTTGATTTGCTTGCAGGTCTTTTAACTGCCTTCACCCTCTTTGCTACCAGTGACTCTGGGTCTGAGGAGTCTGCAGGGACAGGGGAAACTTGGTATACTAGGCCAACCGGGAGTTTACATCCCATCTCTATCATTATTACACTTATTTGCTCCAGGCGTGGGCAAGTCAGTGTAACTTTCTCTGCCTCACCCATAGAGTGGGGGTTTGTAAAACCCCTACCTTGCCAGCTTAAGTAAGACATAGCGATAATGTGTATTCTGTAAGAAATAGAGACAATGTTTGTTCTACACTTGCCATATAGTAGGTGTTTAGGACATGTTATCTTCTTATATTTTATGTAAATATGTGAATGTCAGAGCAAGGATGGAACAGATAAACTGCCTACTACTAACCTGTATGCTGATAATATTTTATTATATGAAAAGATGCACATAGAAGTTTTACAACTTGGACTTATTTACTCACCTATTATCATACCTGAGTCTTCTGATAATAAAATCCATGTACTCATCACAGTACATGATATAGATTTTTATGGTTAATCTCTACTATGGAATACATAATAGTTGGCCACATGTTCTAAGTCAATATAAACAGGTCAATGCTTATTGTATCCTTCCTTCCAAAAGTACATTGTGTACGTAATTACAGGTGAAGGTGGTCTAGTTAAGAAGTTTAGTGGTGTCTGACCGGGAGCAGTGGCTCACACCTGTAATCCCAGCACTTTGGGAGGCTGATGAGGGTGGATCACCTGAGGTCAGGAGTTTGGGACCAGCCTGGCCAACATGGTGAAACCCCATCTCTACTAAAAATACAAAAATCAGCTGGACATGGTGGCATGTGCCTGTAATCCCAGCTACTCGGAAGGCTGAGATGAGAGAATTGCTTGAACCTGGGAGGCAGAGGCTTCAGTGAGCCAAGATCGTGCCACTGCACTCCAGCCTAGTCAACAGAACAAGACCCTGTCTCAAAAAAAAAAAAAAAAAAAAAAAAAAAGTAGTTTAGTGGTGTCTGGTGTCTGTGTGGTGTCACTAATAGGGAAGTTTGATTAATTAATGAAGATACCTGACCAATAACTCATTAAAGGGAAATAATCCAAAAGTTAGCACTGGTGTTTTGTGACCCTCAGACTGGATTATAATTGTGCTATAGTTCTATTAAAAGAGCTACTAGTCAGCTGAAATCTTACAGTGTGTATCCACACTTCTTGGGATGTTTTTTTCTTTTCAATAATTGTGTTGTTCTTACAATAATCCATCACCCTTTTATCATAGGATTCAGTCACTAAAGGAAGAAATCCAGGCATATTCTAATAAACACAATGGTAGCTAAATGTCCATCCCAAGGTATCATATGTGTGTTTCATCTATACTGCTGTATGTACCCTGTATTTTCTACTCTGAATACAAAATGACATCTATGTGTATTAAGAATTACATAACTAACAAGGTGTGTACTATTTTGAGCTCTAGCAAGAAAGAAAAGAAGAAGGAAAAAAAGAAGTTATCAGTAGTCAGTATCTTATGATTTAAGACTCCAGGGAATGTGAGCTAGTGTGAGAGAGTAGCCTATATAGTTAAAACCATGGTTTAAAGACATTATAAGATGATGGTAAATTTGCAATTAGTGTTTCAGGGTCTCCTAAGAATTTGTACATGACAGGCATTAGCTCTCTACTGAAGAGGGCAAAAACCATATAGAAGCCTTACCAAGTGCTTTGATCAAACTTTATTATCTCTTTTTTACTGTCCTCATTAACATACTTCAAAAACGCTGTTAAGTATTTCTGGCAAGCAGAGCATCAGAGTAATTTTACAGTAGTGTAAAGGATTTATTAATTATAATCTTTTCATTAGTCTATTTATATTCAATTGTGACATTAATAGGTTGCCAAAACAAACTAGATTTAATTGTATTTAATTAAATTGTTGAAAGTCACTAAGGGTAGTTTATTATTATTGTAAGCAGAAAACCCTATTGATGTACTTGTTTATGTGAATAAGATCTGGTGTAAAGTTCTTTCTACAGGATACGGTATTATTCATCAACAGGAAACAATATAAAAATGCTAAGTCAAGAAAGTTGTCATCATAATAGAACATTTGGAGGCAGAAGAATCAGATGGTATTTCTAAACTTATATCCAGTGTTAGGTAAATGAAGTGGGGTTCCTGACAGGACAGACATTCTTGTCTTTCTACTATGGCCCCTGGGTAACTCCAATAGTATCTGTCCATCCTTCTTTCCTTTCTTGGAGGGGCTGTTGGTGGGGGGAAGGGTCTAAGACACAGGTCAAAGTTTCAGTGAAAAGTAGTGCTTCAAATATCACCTGAAGAAGTAGGAATGGGTTATGCCAAGAGTAAGGGATGGAATTTGAGTAGCGAAGAATTCTAGGCAAAGAAACTTACATTGTCTTTAGTCAGGAGGTAGAATGTGAGAAAACCAGAATTAGAGAAAATCAGAAGAATACAAGGGAAAATGCATTGGTTTATCATGAATTAATGCTTGTAAATGCATTGAGGGTAGGAGAAGACAAAGTGGAAGCTGGCTTTGAAAAAAAATAGCACTTTTCTCCTTCAATTATGTATAAGATTTATATATATATATTATATATAATATATATATATTATATATATATATATATAAAATTAAGATTTGTATTAAGTGTTTACTATGTGCCTGGCCCTGTGCTAATCATTCTATATTATTTCATTAATCCTTATATTTACCACTGTGAGAAAGTTACTCTTGTTTTTTTTTTTTTTTTTACTTTGTACCAGTGAAGGAAATCAGGCTCAGAGAGGTTAAATAACTTGTTCAAAGTGCACAGTTAGTAAGTGGTAAAGCCAGTATTTGAACTGGGGTAACCTGATTCCAGATCCTATGCTGTTATAGACTACAACACAGAAATTTTCTCTGCCAGTATCATTAGTTTTGTTTGTGATGGACAGCGTTAAGATGGAAGTAAATGTATGTCAGGATATGCTAGGTGATGCTATGGTAACCAATCAGCCCCATATCTTTATGCATACTTCTTTCTTGCTCACGCCACTGTCTGCCAAGGTTGGGTGGGGGCTGTGCTCTACATTGTCTTCAATCCAGAATTCAGAGCAGCATCTTTTTGAAACAGTGTTGTTCACCGTGGCAGAAAAAGGAGAGTTTTGTAGGTTCAACATCAAATAAATGCCTTGACTTGGAAGTAACTTGCATCACAACTCACTGGCCAGACCTTGGCGTATGGCTTAACCCGGTAGCAAGGGGCCATGAAGTACAGTTCTACCATGTTCCTGGAAGGCAGACAGCAAGAGCTATTTGTTGAACAGCATTCATGATATGGCCACAAAATACCTTAGTGGTTAGAAAATGATATTTTCTTTGTGACGGTACTCTTTCATTCTTAGATATCCAAGCTTAGATATCTTAGCTTATTTCAGTATTTGTTGGATACTGAAATATCCAATGTTGTATCAGTTTACTCAGTCTATAAAGAAGGCAAAAGTGTAGATTTGAGAAGGGAATAATCCAGTGTGTGAATCAAAAAAATAACATGACATCAAGCTTGTTTTGTTTTATTTACATATAGCTGACTTTTGAATGAATTGTCATATGGCCCAGCTCCTCATTTAAGTAAAAATGAAGCAAACCTTTGAGGCTATGGAACTTTCTTTCCTTTTCTCCATCAAATCTCTTCACCATAGCAAATACCTAAGGGTCTTGCTTGCTTACTCTCTCCTGCCCTCTCTCCACCTTCTCATTTGTGAATCTAATCTGTGAACTGATTCCCAGTTTTAAGAAGAATTGCCACCTTGGAATAAAAGGTCAAAGCATTCAATACTACACTGTCTGGAATGCTGCTGTTTGCTTCAGATGAAACTTTTATAGGGCATATTCAGTAAGTAGGTGATATTTTTATATTATCCTAAGTATTTTTTATTCTCCTTATTTTTACTTCCAGAACTGTATCGTTTCTAGTAATAAATCAGTTATGGATCAAATGCATCCATTTGTCATGGATGAATGCCTATACATGCCTTGATGATGATAGGAAACAAAACCTTGTAAGGGTGGATGCTGGCTTTGGAAGAAAAAAATTAATGAAGCTTGGAAAACAGTGATAGCAGGGGACATTGCAATTTTAGGTGTTAAGTGACTTATTTTCAAACCCTACGAGTATGGCAATATTTTTCCTCTCCCCCTTCCTTTAATTAAACATTCTTGTAGTGCAGAGTGACCCCAGCTGAAGAAAAATTGTGTTAGGGAAAGTTAGGCTTCCTAAGCGCTGTTATTTAATAAACAGTCTTTCTTATTAGCTAAAATATTTGCCTTGATGGGCAGAGTACATTGTGAGGCCAAAATAAGAGAAGAAAAAATGGGAAGGCTAGCCTGGTTTACCAACACTTCTGTGTCACAAACATCAATACCAAGTGCTGCTTTCTTGCTGATGGTTCAGGAAGATGGCATTTACATATCAGGTTTAGTTTTGTGAAACTTAGCTTTAATCTCTCACCTCCCATCCCTTAGGGGCAGAATAAGGCTGAGGCAATTATTCTGTCAAGATTTTAAAGGACTCTCTAGACCATCTCCTTAATGCACACACACACACACACACACACACACAATTATACATTGTTAAGGTATTTAACAATCATATTTCGGAAATAAAGAGTTGGAAGTTGCCTTAGCAACCATGAAGACTGTGCTTTCACTGGACACTTCATTTGCCTCAAAACCTCCTCTGTCAAGTGGTTGTTGATTCACTGGTTGGATTTTCTCCCATATTGTTTTGGGGCATACTGAAATTGGGGATGACTCCTTTCTCTGGCCTGGGCAAAATGTTTTTAATTATAAAACAGATCTTCCCTAGTCCCCACACCTATTCCATCCATACCTTTCTTCATTGCAGTGAATAGCAGCTCCATCTTTTCCATTCCTTACTCACATCGAAAACCTAGAAATTGCCAACTACTGTCTTCAGATTTTACATTCCATTCTTCTCAGATTTTACACTCCATTCTTCTCAGATTTTACATTAAATTTATTGGAAAAGCTATCTTTCTCTAACTTCATGATATATTCAGACTCCAACCACTTCCCACCACCTCTATTGCTGTCACCCTGGGCCGAGCCACAACTTCCTCTACGTGGATTATAGGGGAAGCCTAGGGTGGTCTCTTGCTTTCACCTTTGCCACAGTCTATATTCTACAATCTATATTTTTCACACAGCAGGCAGATGGTGAGGTTAAAAAGTTAGTCAGGTCTTGTCAGTCATCTGTTCCAAACCCACACACAGTGGTTTTATTATTTCAGGGTAAGAGTCAAAGTCCTTGCAAAGGGCCCTAATAATATGCCCTCAACTTTTACCCCCATTATCTCCACAGCATCTTCTCCTACTTCACTCTTCTTTGCTCACTCTCCTTTATCCACACTGGGCTCCTTGCTGGCCCTTCAAAGATAGGCACACATCTGTATTCATTGGCTCTTGCTCTGTTTGGAATGCTCTTCCCCAGATGTCTACGTGATATACGTTCTCCCTGCTCCAAGTATCTGCTCAGATATCACCTCCTCTGTGAGGTCTTCCCTTACCACTTTATTGATTTTAATTTCACCCTCATCTCAGAACTGCACATCTCCATTCTCCTGGTCTATTTTTGCAGTAGCATTTGCTGCCTTTCACCTTACTATAACTCACTTACTTACCAAACTTGTCTCCCTCCACAGGAATGTAAGTTCCACGAAGGCAGGGATTGTCATCAGTTTTGATCCCTGTTATGTCAGAGGGCAAAAAGAAGGCTCTTAATAAATATTTGCTGACTAAATGAATGAATAAATAAAAGAAAAATGTCAGGACCACATGAGATAGAGACCATTCCTTTTATTTCCTATCAAATCTAACGTAAGTATTTACATAATTCCTCCACAGCCTTCAGCTCTTTGCTAAAAATGAAATTCCTCCCTTGCTTCAGGGGCCCTGGTCCTCTGAACTGCATGACTCTCTGGTCATGGGAGTGAGGGCAGGGGTTGGCCCACAGACGAATCCTTGTGAAGATGAGGTGACTGGTCCAGCAGCGGGGGAATGAGAGATCTTTTGCTGCTAAGGCTGATATTATGGCCAATGGAGAAATTCCATCCCCACCGAGAGGGTCCATTTTCTCCCAATCGCCTAACAGAAATCCAAATGGCAAGTTACTATGATTTTCAAACACAGAAGAATTTTATAGAGAGACTTTTCAGATTTAAATGTCCTTTTCTTCTGATGTAATAATAATACCCAAAACTAATGGAGCCTTTATCATGTACTGTGCCCTACCCTAAGCACTGCAGACCCACACCCACATATATACATCTGTATATATTATTTAACCCTGACAATGACCTGAGGAGGTAGGAACTTTTATTATCCCAGTTTTTCAGATGAGGAGATAGAAACTCAAAGTAAATTTCCCAATGTCTCACAGCTAGTAAAGGACAGAGCTAGGATTCAAACCCAGGCAGTCTCAGTCTGCAGTCTGTGCTCCTAACTACTGTCCTGTATGTTCACTTCTATGTACCTTGTTTCTGAAAAAGAGTACACAGTTACCTCAGGAGGTTGTATTAATTCATTCTTGCATTGCTATAAAGAAATATCTGAGCCTGGATAATTTATATAGGAAAGAGTTTTAATTGGTTCAGGGTTCTGCAGGCTATATAGGAAGCACAGTGGTTTCTGCTTCTGGGGAGGCCCCAGGAAGCTTCCAATCATGGCAGAAGGCAAAGGGGAAGCAGGCATTTCACATGGCTGGAGTAGGAGGAAGAGAGAGAGGGGGGAGGTGGCACACACTTTTAAAGAATCCAAAACTGAGTATCATGACGATGGTACCAAGCAGGGATGGTATTAAACCACAAGAAACCACCTGCATGATCCAATCACCTCCCACCAGGCCCCACCTGCAACACTGGGAATTGCAATTGAATATGAGATTTACGTGGGACTTCATGGTGGGCCCTTTTCTGAGAGTCTTCTCTAAGACGTGAGAGGTTTACTGCCTTTTGAGGTAGACTATTTCAATACTGGAGAGTTGAAATTAGACTTTTCTCCCAATATTTAGCAGAATCCTGAGGACACTGGGGCTATGGAAGATGTGGATTGTTTCTATTTTTGTGGCAGGTTGCAGAGCCAGCCATCTCTCAGTGAAGAGCCATTTAGTTGTAAAGGCAGTTCCTATGTTATTCCTGGACTGTCCCTTTTCCAGGCTAATTGTTTGTCATTGGAAATGGCTCAGCTGTGGCCTAAGACATGACTGGCATTTGTGGAACCCCGATATTTATTTGAACAACTCAAGGTCACAATAGGCAGCTGTATCAGCCTGCCAACTTGGATTGAATCTGCCATCAGTGAAAACCCCCAGGTCTATTTCACACATGCCACCGTGAAGTCACATCTCCTTGTCTCTGTTTTCACAGCTTGCTATTTGATCCTAAGTGTGGACTTTAAATTTGTCTCTGTTATTTTCTATCATGTTAGATTTCAATCTTCCTTCCATCTTCTTGGAAACTTTGAAAATGTCATTTCTGTCATCTAATATATTAACTAGTGTTCTCAGCTTAATGTTTTTGAATGAATAAAGAAACCTACAAGTTAACACTTAATAAATTAATTCCCAAACATGAATTGAGGATTCCATGTTCCAGGAATGATGATATCATACTAACGTTTCATCGCTTTGTGAACTGAAGAGGGTTTTTGGCTTCTTACATATGTAACCTAAGAGATGGAAATCCCAACAAAAATATTTGGAAAGATAGACACTCTGGGATAGTTTATTCTACAGCAGTATAGTTCAATAGAAATATGATGGACTTGGGGAGGCTGAGGCGGGTGGACCACTTGAGGCCAGGAGTTCAAGACCAGCCTGGCCAACATGGTGAAACCCCGTCTCTACAAAAAATACAAAAATTAGCCAGGTGTGGTGGCACATGCCTGTAATCCCAGCTACCCAGGAAGGTGAGGCAGGAGAATCGCTTGAGCCTGAAAGGTGGAGGTTGCAATGAGCCAACATCATGCCACTGCACTCCAGCTTGGGTGACAGAGCGAGACTCTGTCTCAAAAAACAAACAAAACAAAACAAAACAAAAAAGTATATATATATAGCTGCATCTATAATTTAAAATTTTCTAGCTAGCCACATATAAAGAAGTTGAACAAAAAGATGAAAATAATTTAAATATTATTTTTAACCCAAAATACTTTATTGGTCTTCTATGACTGCTGTAACAAGTTACCACAAACTGGGTGGCTTAAAGCAATAGAAATTTTTTCTCTCATGTTTCTGGAGAACAGAAGTCCCAGACATGAAATCAAGGTGTCAGCAGGGCTACGCTCCTATGGGAGGCTCTAGAGAAAAATCCCTTCTTTGCTTCTTCCAGATTCTTGTGGATGCTGACTTGTGGATTGACTTGTGGCTGCCATATCACTCCAATCTTGGCCTCCATTGTCATGTTACCTGTTCATCTTCTGTCTGTCAAATCTCCCTCAGCCTCACTCTTTTTTTTTAAAATTTTTTTTTTTATTTTTTTGAGATAGGGTTTCACTCTGTTGCCCAGGCGGGAATGCAGTGACACAATCATGTCTCACTGCAGGCTGAAACTCCCCAGGCTCAGGTGATTCTTTCTCCACAGCCTCCTGAGTAGCTGAGACTACAAGCTCATGCCATCACACCTGGCTGATGTTTGTATTTTTTGTAGAGATGGGGTTTTGCCATTTGCCCAGGCTGTTCTCGAACTCCTGAGCTGAAGCTATCCACTTACCTTGGTTTCTCAAAGTGCTGGGATTAGACGCATGAGCCACCATGACTGGCTAGCCTCACTCTTAACAGAAAACTTGACATTGGATTTAAGGCCACCTAGATAATCAAGGGTAAGCTCCTTCTCTCAAGATTCTCTATCACATTTTTTTTAACCACATAAGGTAATATTCACTTGTTTACCATATAAGGTAGTACTGATAAGTTCTAGGGATTAGGACATGGACACATCTTTCTGGAGGCTATCAGCCCACTACAATTATGTCTACATGTAATCAGTATAAAGAATTATTAATGAGATAGTTTACTTTTTTTTCTGTAACAAGTCTTTGAAATCTGGTGTGTGTTTAACACTGACAGCACATCTCAATTCAGATGCTCAATTTTTCTTGAAAATACTTGATCTGCTTTTAGATTTTATAAAATGTACAGTTATAAACATTGATTAACATACTTGAGTTGTTTCAACCTTATTTAAAACTGTTCCAGTAAGTAAATCAAACATCAGTTCTAAAATTTAAGTTAAATAAATCAGTAAAAATTAAAAATTCATTTATTTAGTCTCACTAGCCACATTTCAAGTGAAGCCTGGGACCTCCTTGTACAGTGGCCAGTGGCTACTGTCTTATATTCTGCCATGATGCAAACGTAAAGCCCACTTCAATTATAGCATATGAACTATAATACATAAAGTAGCGGATGTACTCTTACGTAATAATGCCTAGACTTTAAGTACCATTAAGTTTGGTAATTTATTCTGAAAGTATTTTGAATGCCCTCAGGAGCTAAGACCTGTAAATATGGTAATAAACAAAATCAACATGGTCTCAACCTCCTGGGGTTTTCTGTCTGAATGCACATTAGTTTCGTTACCTTGCCTAAGCCTCAGCTGTCAGAAATTGGTATGGGACGATAGTTAAGAAAACCACTGGGCAAATATATCTGAAAATGCCTGGGTAAGAAGCCTGCTTAGTCTGTAGAGATCCTATGATCAGAACCTCAGTAGAACCTGATGTTCAACCTTCTGTCAAGTGTAAGCTGAATTCCCATCTAAATAACTTTTCTTCAGGATATTAACTTGATGTTTTGTAAGATGAAGAAATTAGAGAATATACTTAAAATATCATGAGAATAAAGATAAATGGAAATAAAATGGGTGACATTATTAATAATGGCAAACAGTAATATCACAACAGTAAAACACATTATAAAAATAAAACCAGTTCATGCTTTAAAAATTTTTCTTTTCACCAGCACACACTTGATGGATTTTTTTTTTCTACTTTAAGTTCTGAGATACCTGTGCAGAATGTGAAGGTTTGTTACATAAGTATATATATATGTGCTGTGGTGGTTTCCTGCACCCATCAACCCGTCATCTACATTAGGTATTTCTTCTAATGCTATCCTTCCCCTAACCCCCCACCAGCCGACAGGCCCCAGTGTGTGATGTTCCCCTCCTCGTGTCCATGTATTCTCATTGTTCAACTCCCACTTATGAGTGAGAACATGCAGTGTTTGGTTTTCTGTTCCTGTGTTAGTTTGCTGAGAATGATGGTTTCCAGCTTCATCCATGTCCCTGCAAAGGACATGAACTCATCTATTTTTATGGCTGCATAGTATTCCATGGTGTATATGTACCACATTTTCTTTACCCAGTCTATCATTGGTGGGCATTTGGGTTGGTTCCAAGTCTTTGCTATTGTGAACAGTGCTGCAGTAAACCTGTGTGTATGTGTCTTTATAGTAGAATGATTTATAATCCTTTGGGTATATACTCCACTTGATGGAATTTTAAGCCATCTGTCTATCTCTCATACAGTATATTTTGCCTGAGAGGTTTCCCAGAAAAGATGCTGTTGGTTTGCTCCTTGTAGCAATGTACCCTTAGGAATAGAAAGGATGTCCCCTTTTTAGTGGTTTTAGAGAGACCACAAGTCAGCTTACTTACTACTTTACAAGAGTTTGGACTCATTACCAGAAAGAATTGTACCAACAAAAAAGAAATATCATGGATTTTGAGATGATCAAGCTTCTAAAATATGTTGCTACTCTTTGGCTATTATACATCAGTTTCAAGTTTTGGGATTGTTTCCTATGTTAACTTAGCAGTTCTTATTCAGAATCAATTCTCAGCCAATTTTTAGAAAACAAAAATCCTTATGGAAGAGAAGAGACCTGAAGGTTTGAGTCGATAATGTTTTAATACAAACATTATTATAAAAAGATAAATATTCAGTATGGATTGGGGCCTGAATTTATTTGTATTGAGAAATTGATGTTGAATTCATTTCCTTATGGGGCATCTGGTGACCAATCTTATATCCCATCTGGGTTCTTATTTCATTCTACAAACATTTATGTGGGGTGCTGTGCCAGCACTTACAGGTGCCAAAGAAGAAGATGAATCAAAGGATACTTTATCACAAAGCACTCGGAAATAGTGGGCAGTGCTTATAAATGAAAAATAATATAAGGCAAGAAGTATGTGCTGAGTAAAGGTGTGAGGACAAAGAAAGAATAATCATTCCAATCTAGAAGGACTGGGAAAGACCTCGTTTGTGGAGGAGATGGCCGGGAGAAAGATGAAAATCGTCATTTCCATTTGCTGAAATGTTCCTATGTGGCAGGCTTGCCATAAATCCCAAAGCCTAGCAGAGTGGCCGGTAATTAAAAAGGATGATTAATACATGAAACAAGCAAGTTTAAAAATTTTGTTTAAAAAATTTTAGGCTTCATTGTGTGAACATCCATCCCAAAATAACCCAGACATACACTATTTGTCAGAAGGTTAGATTGGATGACTTCTATCTTCTATTATTTTTTCCGTGGCTTCATTTTCTGTTCAAATCTAGATATTGCTTGAATCATATCCCATTGTGATAAACCAAGCCAGAATCATTGGGACGCGTTTTTTAATAGTTAATCTGTAAATTATACGGATTTGAATCTTCTTATAGTTTTTCCTTCTCTAAGCTGCAGTGTTTACCTATTTACGTATTGAGTGCACTGACATCTAAGTCTTGATATTTTTATATTCTCTGAGATTTCTTTGCACTTTTAGTCTTAAATCTTAAATATCATGTAGGTACCTTCATGTTTTTTTCAGACCATTTTGGTTTTTGGCTGCCTGATCTTTGAGAACAAAGTAACAGCTTATCTGGTCTATATGAGATTCATTAGTTGAAGCTCTCAAAAGATTTTTGGTTTTTTCAAACAATGCCTTAAAATATAGACAAACATTTTCTCTAGATGAGCAAGTGTACTAAAGTATGGAGAAGAAATGTGAAAGAAATGTACTAAAATTATCAAATGTTGGTATATTTAGTCTACCCTTGTTTTGATTTCATCATTTCTCTCCTCTTTCCCTCTGACTCTCATGCCATATAAATTCTGGGCATCCAGCCCTCACCCAGAGCTCATTTCAACTCACTCACATATCCAAAAGAAACACCACTGTGATGGCAAAAATTTTAGAAGAAAGTAAGACTTTGTTGACAGACTCTTGTAGAGGTAGTGCAAAAAGAATTACATCCTAGAACACAGAGTGAGAATTTGCTGAAATTCTCCTGTCCATATCTCAGTCTGTGTCATCTTCCATGTTCATCCAGACTCCAAACCACTCCTTTCCCACTGCCTGGTTCCACTTCCCTTCCCACTCCTCCTTCTCTCTGGCTCTGCTTTTTCCCTCCCAGACTCCTGTGTCTGTTTCCTTCAGTGGAACCTCAAGCCGTTTCTTGTACAGAAATCAGTTCCTCTTGAGCTTCACCCTCATATCATCCTGTCCAGGAAAACAAAAAGATCTTCCTTAGGACCTACAGAGCCAAGAATCTGGGGGAAAGTCAAAATGTGTAAACTAATGATTTGCTCTTGCGCTTTTCAGTTCTTTTCAATTCTTTTCAGTACTTGCTTCCTACTCCTGTTCAACTTGTTTCTTCTCGTCACCTCCCAATTCCTCATTCTCTTCCTTCCTATGTATGATATCCTTTCATTTCCCCCAAAATTAAGTCAGAAGCAAGAACATTTATATATAAATGGTTGAAGGAAAATATATATACTCAACAGTCACTTAGGAAGGTAATACCTAGTTGTGAAATACAATAATGAAAAAGTGGTCAAATTGCCTTCAATTTTCCACAGAAATAGATAACATCTCTGGTAATTTTCCACGTTTTTCCATTGACCTAGTTGCTATTTCATTGTATAAAAGTGAGCACTCGTATTTTTCTGTACCTGAGCTTTCATACTCACTTCCTTTTCTGCCAACTTGCTCAGCTGTTTCGATCTTCACCTTCTGTCTGTCCTCACAGTTGGGGATTATACTTTGACTTTCAACACCTGACATATCTGGAACATTCTACCTCAAAAAAGTCATTTATCTTTATATCCTTTAGGAGCATTGGATTATAAAGGTTGTACTTTTTAGTTTTATTTTGTATGTTTTTTAAGGGCATTCACAATGCAAGCATTTAGCTTCTGACATTGATATTTTCTTTGCATTATGCTAGACATTTATCGTTTAAACAAGAACATTCTCCATCCAATTTCAATGCCTCCTCTGAGAGCATTGTACTTTTATATGCATGTAAGCCAATGAGATATGACAAATATCAGTTTGTGATTTTCTGGATTAAGTCATGCTAGATATTTACTTATTAAGGAATGGATGGAATGAAAAAAATTAGCATATGAAGTATTTTTTAAAGCAGACAGTATTTCTTCTTTTCTGTAGGAAGAGGAACTGGAATATATGTTTTCCCCATCAAAAAATCCTTATTAGAGGACATCATTATCTGCTTATAAATGCTGGAAATACAATTTACAACCTCCTTTGGATCAAACATGATGAACAAATAGACACATCATTTGATATCCCATATCACCTTTCACTTAGGAGTTTGGTGTACTTTTCAGATCAGTTCATTTGGAAGAAATATGGACAGGTTACAGGATCAATGTGAAATAAATGAGAGCATAATCACACTGTAAGGAAGCAAAGCTGTATAGACCGGAGCAAAGATCTTCATTGTGAAATCGCTCTTCACCTTTGACCTACAAACTAGAGACAGTGGTGTCTTCTGCAGGTACAAAATTGCCTACTTGCTACCCATAACCACCTCCAGTGTCCATGACCTAAATTATAGATTAAGCTAAATAAATAGTACCTTGGACTTGTGAAAGAAAAAATGACCCATGTGATTTTAGCATGAAAGGAGACTGAGAGTCCCTGGAATGCTTCCTTTACTTGCTATAGGATGCTGTTAACTATGATGATAATGACAAATGTAAACATAACAGCTAACATGAGACACTTATTCTGTGCCAGGCACTACTCTAGTCTCCTTGTTTGTATAAATTCATTTGATCCTCACCATAAACCTATAATGTACTACCATTACTAACTTCATTTTACTTAAGAGGAACCTGCAGCACAGCTCTTCATAACTTGCCCAGTAGTGTCACACACTTAGCAAGTAAGGGAGAAGGATTTGAGCCCAAGCAGTCTGATTTCAGACTTCATACTCTTCAATGTTAGCTTAAATGGACTCTATTGTGACCTAGCTTTCAGCAGGAAGCATAAACCAGTGTCTTTACAAAATGCTGATTTCTGCTTTAGTACTTGTCTTCCTTTGAGTGGACAGTGAAGAAATTGCTATTGCCCTTTCATGTCCTTGCTTGGTGAGGAGGAACATTTTCTGTTCCACAGTGTAGGGACTCTTCTGTCCTTGTCTACCTGACAGTTTGGAGGAGAAAGATACTGGGAACACTATAGATTGGGGAGGACAGGAATTCTGAGATGAATTTTGGGCTGGACACGTGCTGGCAAATGTGATACTATTTTAGAAAGGGGAAATTTTAAAATTTCACATTCCAAACCAGATATATTATCTATTGATTATTGGTTATGCATTCATCCTTATATAGTGGTGCCCAGTTGGGTGGCATCTTAGGGCTTGCTCACAAATTCTTCTAATTTCCACCTGAAGATCCTGGCTTTGGGTCACCTGCCCAATATTTACAGATAGGGCTGCTCATCCAGTGGACTTTTATATTCCCCCTACTTTACCATGTCACCACTTTGGCCTTTTAAAAAAGTCAATAATTGTAATTTATTTCCCAGATCTTGTCATCTCAGATTTATTTTTAAGAAACAAAGCACCCCTCTGATTTATGATCTATAATTAGACTTTTATTTCCAGAGATCTGTGGGCCAGGCCAGCCTGTGGTCCTATCAGCTCAATGACTGCTGTTTCTCACACGCAATGTTGAGGCATCTCTCACTCAGCACAAACCTATTTTGCTAATAGTCATATACTCTGTCTTCTCAAACCCAAGGTTCTGTGTATATTCCCTCATACTTTTCCTTAGGTTGATTAAATATTTAATATATTTGGTTAAAAAAGCCTCTCCATTTTTAGTATATCATTAATACTAACTTATTTTATAACATTATACATGATTATTATCTGTTTAAGATCTCACCTTCTATTTCCAAGTATCTCATCTAAAAAATTCCGATTAGAATGGCAAAAATAAAAAAATTCCTGACAATGCCAAGTGCTAACGAGGATGTGAAACAATTTTATGGGAATAAAAAATGACACAGGCACTTCAGAAAACTGGAAGTTTCTTATCAAATTAAACATACATTTACTTTACGATGCAGAAATCCCACTTCTGAGTATTCGCCCAAAAGAAATGCAACTTATGTTCACACAAAAAACATGTGTGAATATTGATAGAAGCGCTATTCAATCACTAGGAACTGAAGACACTCCAAATGTCCTTTAATGGGTTGGATAGATAAACAAACTGGTGCAGCCACGCAATGTAATGGCAATAAAATGGAACAAACTACAGAAACATGCAGCAACAGGGCTGAATCTCAATTGCATTAGTGCTAAGTGAAAGCAGCCAGACAAAAAACCACATGATTCCACTTATGTGCATTCTGGAAAAGGCAAAAAAGGGATAGAAAACTGATTAGTGGTGTCCAGGGGCTAAGGTTGAGGGTAGGCATTGACTACAAAGAGTCAGTGTAAGGAAATTCTGGTGGGAAGGTGATGGAAATGCTCCACATATTGGGATACTGGCTGTAGTTACATGGCTGTGAATTTGTTGAAACTCATGAAACAGTTCACCAAAAGGAAGGAATTTTACAGCCAGGCACGCTGTCTCACTCCAGTAATTCTAGCACTTTGGGAGGCCAAGGTGGGTGGATCACGAGGTCAGCAGTTCTAGACCAGTCTGACCAAAATGGTGAAACCCCATCTCTACTAAAAATACAAAAATTAGCCATGCATGGTGGTGTGCACCTGTAATCCCAGCTACTCAGGAGGCTGAGGCAGGAGAATCACTTGAACCCGGGAGGTGGAGGTTGCAGTGAGCCAAGACTGTGCCACTGCACTCCAGCCTTGGCGACAGAGTGAGACTCTGTCAAAAAAAAAAAAAAAAAAAAGGAATTTTACTGTAAGTAAATTTTAAAATAGTGAATAAAATATACAACAAAAAGATCCCCTGGCATCATTTATAAGTTGATTGCATGTTTTGCCTAAAGTCGTAGAGCCTGTCACCTCTCTTTCAAGTTGAGGAAAACTCTCTCTGAGCCCACCAATTCCTGGATGTCAAGTTTGGCTACAGGTGACCTTCAGAGAAGGCTTGGTAAATCCATGTGAGGTTAGACTAGTTGCACAATTACTGGTGAAGGTGGGTCCCTTAACTCTCTCCTATTTATCTATCTGCCCTGCCCCCAAATCTTGGCCACTTTCTAATAAATATTACAGCTTGAAGGCTACTCTGTGGATCTCCAAAGAGATACTGACTTCAAGGGCAATTCCTCTCATTTCGTTGCCAGGGATTTTGAATACTTTCTTGCCACATTGATATTCATTTGTTTTTTCATTTGTACAATCATTCACTTATTGAGCACTTATCTAACACTTATTGAGTGCTAAGTCCCTCACCAGGAACTAATTCCTGCTCTCTGAGACCCATAGTCTAGTGGAGCAGACAAATACGTGATTGTTAGCTATGTCACGATAATTGCAGCCATGACATAGAGCTATGAGGAGACATAGCTTGGGAGAGGTCAGGGAAGAATGTAGAAATAATGGTAGCTGTGCTAAGTCTTGAAGAATGAGTGCACTTGTTTCCAGGCAGAGAAGGGTAGGAGAAGGGTGTTCCAGACAGAAGAAAGAACAAGTAGAAAGGCAATGGGCATGAATGAGCACAGTGTGTCTAGAGAAACTTGAGGAGTGCAGAACTGCAGGTGGGTGACCTATGAAGGGGCTTTTGTCTGGAGATGACGCCAAAGAGGAAAGGACCAGATGTGCAGGGCCTTGTGTATCATGTCGAAGAATTTGTACTTTTATCTTAGAAGCCTGTAATGAAGCATCCACAAACCATGGGTCCTATATGACCCTCCCCAAGCCCACAGTCTTGCTTCACGTGGAAAGATTAGAAAGTTACCTTCTTGTTGCTGCTTTTAAAAAATGTCTAGGTGTTAATATTTTATGTCTAAACTACAGTTTCCATTTTTTTCCAATGACATTCTTTTACTCAATAAAGTAGGCAATCCATTTTGGAAGAAATACAGTTCAGTAAAATGACTTTCAGTTTTAGTGGAAAAAAATCAGCCTATAAATATTTTAATCTTTTCCTCTGGTATGTGGAAGGGATCTTTTTCAGTGGTTTCTGCAGGGAAGAGAAACAGTAAGATTTGCATTTTAGAGAGATCACTCCAGAGGCAACGTGGAGAGAGAAGGTCTCTGGCAAGATGCATTCTACTGCTCTGAAGGCCCAATTTAAGCAAATCCTTTTAAAGCATCTTTTGGCCAGACAGGACAACAGGAAGAAAACATATTTTCACGGCATGCCATTTTATGCAAGTGGGAATGCAATCCAAAGAAAATTGTGTGCGTGCTCTCTCTCTCTGAAACAGAGAAATGAAGAAAAGAAAGACAAAGAAAGCCACAAGACAACTTTCCATAGATTGCATAAAAGCCTGATGGTATTTAAATTATTATATTATAAATGATTCTCTGCTGATTGTACCATTAACAGACCACAGATAGAAGCATTAGGAAATCACAGGGCGATGCTGAATTTTGTCTACAGTATGTGTAGTTTAATGGACTGTCTTGCCTTGTAGAATTCTTTATCGTATTTTATCATAATTTTAATGACTCTCATTGTCATATTTCAGAACAATGAGTCTGAAAAATCTTCCTTATGATTTTTTAGTGAGTCACTTTGGGAAGGTGATGATCAAGAAAAAAGTTGGAAAAATTGAGACAGATTATCAAAACCTTTAGAAAGTCAAGATTTTGTGTTCCAGGAATCTTTAGTCAATGTTGGTGGGAAGGTGTAATTTCAGGGTAACCAATCAGGAATTCTGTATCGAGGTCAGTGTAACAGTTTGTCCAGTGCTTTGCAGAACCTGTCTTCTTTCCTGGACAGTAAGCTGTCTGAGGCTAGAAGCCACGTTCCTCTCTGCTCACAGCTGAATCCATAGTACATGGCACAGAGCCCGAACTCTAGCAGGTGCTCAGTGAATGTCAAGTGGATGTATAAATGATGCCTGCATGGCTGCAGTATTAATCTATAGAATCTAGGGTTCAGGGTAGTCACATTTGCTGAATTATAAGCAGTTTAAAGTAGAAGCTATTGTTAAAAAAAAAAAACTTTAAAAAAACTATGCAGGGGTCAATACTCGTCAGAAAAGCAATGACATTAAAAGTAGGAAGATAAACAACAACCCTAGTTTCTTAGAGATGTTTAGCCAAGATGTTTTTGAATTCATTTCACTACAAAGAGATCACTGCTGTTATCATTTCATTATGTAACCTCTCATCTTGTTTACAATGCATAACTCTATGTGAGTGTTTATTTTCATAAAAAGGGATGCTATTGTATGTTCAGTTCAGTAGCCTATTTTTTCTACTAATCTGTCACCCATATCTGCATTTTAACTCATATGTGACTTTCACTGTACATGATCCTGCTTCAGTATCTTCCTTCTCTAGTACACTATAAACTCCAAGTGGGCAGGGGCTGTGTCTCTCTTGTCCTCTGTCTACATCCAAGCCCTGCCATCTGCTGGTCCCCATATCAGCACTAGTTGATTGATGGCTACTGTTTTGTTTGTATTAATTGCATAGTTTCTTATTCTCTGAATATAGCATAATTCATTTGCTTAATCTTCTATTGTTGAAATCTTAGATTTTAAAAAATGTTTTTCTCCAGAGTATTCATAGATGATTTTACTCATATTAATATTAGCAATTATGCATATTTCTAATTGTTTTAGTAATTATTATAGAATAATACATGAATATAATCACCATATAAAAGTGGAAACCTTATGGATAAGGGACAAGTACTCTTTAACAATCAACTTTCTGTGCAAGGAGAGTCATAATAATCAGTTTGAGTCTTTTTAGGTCGTTTCTAGGCTTTTATATAATATATATGCACTAAGAAAATGTATGCTATTGTACATGTGTGTATTTTATACGATTGATATGATGTCATTCTTATTATTCTGCAAATTTCTCTCCAGTCAAAGATTGTGTAGCATTTCATCTTATAGATCTCCTATGATAGACAATCTCTTATATTTCTTACTATTTTAAACCATGAAGAGTCGCATTACCCCAGATGCAGACCTTGAAACAAGGATTTGAGTCAGGTAGTTTACTTGGAGGTCATTGATGATCTCCAGAGATACAAGTGGGCAAATGAGACAGGGAAGGGAAAGCAACCAATATGTGTTGCTTCCATAAGTGAGTTGCTGATGCAGACAACTGAGACTCAGTTTTGCTGGGGCTTTCTGGGGGACTGTGAAGGACATACCTCAGAGAAGTCCCATTGGAGGGGTGAATAAACCAGGGTATTAACCCGCCAACTCCAGCACATTGGCTGGGGATGCTCCCAGGGCTAATCACTCCATACATTTCTGATCTGCCCTGTGGGTGGGCCAAACACATCCCTGCATTTATGTTCATAGAAAGTCCTCCAGCAGTCACAGACATGCACAGTAGGAAGCTGCTGGTATGTGGAACGACACCTTCTGATAGGATATGGACAGGACATTGAGGGCATCTGCTATAACATTGTTTTGTGTTTATGGCTATATTTTAATAAATATTTTTGGGATGATATTCAGATTATTCTTTTAACATTTGTAACTGGACCTTAAGTCTTGGCTTGCTGTGTTTCTTGAGAAAAACACTATTGCAAGGCAATTTTACTCACCTGCTCCATCGTTCAGTCACTTGAAACTGCTCCTATTCCCTTTAAGCCTCCCCTCCTGCTGAGCCAGCCAATCACCTTAACACTCTCTGACTGTCCCATAAACAAATGAAGTCTGTCTCTCTGTAACCTTCTCTCAAGGGAGGGTCACTGCTCCTATAGGTGGGGTTCAACTGAGTAGAGTCAAGAAACCTAGTCTCTGATTTAATGACTCTGAAGCTCTAATGTAAACTCTGTGTCCAAGAAAGTGCCTATATTAATACCGACTAAAGAGAATGTAATTTTTCCTGGTGCTCTGGTGGTGGGACTAATGATCTACACTTATTTCGAGAAGGTTGTTAAGGTTTCCTCTAGTCCAGTGGCTCAGGAAGTGTGGTCATCATACCAGCAGCATCAACATCACCTGAAACCTGTTAGAGTTGCACATTCCTGATTCCTTCCTTCCTCCTTCTGCCAGACCTACTAATTCAAATTCTCTGGAAGTGAGACCCAGCAATCTGTTTAAAAAAGCCCTTCAGGAGATTTTGATGAACACTAATGATTGAGAATCACTGTTCTAGCCTTTTATAATTTACATTTATCCCAATTATTTTGTTCAACCAATTTTTACAAAATAAAAAGTTTTGAGCAAAGTAGTAAATTCCTTTCTGTTTCAAAACTTTTTTTCTTTAATAACACATACATCGCCAATGAAGATTCCAGTGCTCTCAGTCCCTGCACATTCATGGATTATGCAACTCTAAGATACGTAACATTGTCTTGAAAATTGCATTAAGACAGTGCCTCTCTTCTGCCAAACATCAAAGATTATTGCAAATGTACACATTAATTATCTTATTTGCAATTAATATGGCTAATAATTATAAAGGCATGTGCCTTGCTGTAAATAAAGACATAATCCAAAAACAAGAAAAAATCCCTTTTATTCCAGTTGCTCTTCTTCCACCTTGTATGATTGTTTACATTCCCGAAAGACTCTGTGTTGAGATTCTTTTACATGAACATATCCTTCTTGCATGTAAAATGACCTGATTAAAAATAATGGAACCAACAAATTTGGGTTACCAAAATTCAGTTTTTGTACTCTCCAAGAGTTTATGCATGGATTAAAGTTAGAGAACACACATATATGCCTTTGAGTTGCAATGGCAACATTCTTACTGAGAACATTATGCCAATCATATAGACTATTTCATGCATCTTTGCTCCATCCCTGTAAAGGACAGATTTTTTTTTCTCCCATTTTCCTGATAGGGATAACTCAAAGTGGAGAAGTTTAGAAACTGAACCTGGGTTGAAAAGGTTTGGAAACTAATACTTTGCTCATTTTTTCCATTCAGGTATTGAAAACTCTTTATTGAGTGTCTGCTATGTTAGGCATTGTGCTAGGTGCTGGAGCTGTGTGGAGAAGCAGGACAGTCAGCCAGAGCTTTCGGTCTAGAATGGGCAAAAGCCATGTTCTCTAGGACTTTTCCCACTATAAACCAGAGTTTTCTCAATTTCTTCACCTTTGATTCGAATGTATCTTATCTACAGTAAAAGATAAAATTTGGGTTATGCTGGTGAAGGAAGGGCATAGAGGACCCAAGAAGGTATGGCTTGTGGAACACAATTCTTTATTTCCTATCTGAGCTCTTGGTTCTTCACATACCATGGCTTGAAAATCATGGACCTGGAGTAGAGATTGCAAACATATCTTACAAAGAGCTTTGGCTGGACACCATCCGTGCTGTTATCATATTGTTCAACAATTTTGCATTATTTGCCAATAGTTTTAAAATATAAAAAAATCCAGATTTTCTACTTTAATGGGAAAATTGACAGACCTGGCCACAATGAGCCTTCTTTTTCTCATGACTGACCTCCATTCTTCATAGACTCCTCACCCCTCCACTTTCAGTTTTTTCCTACCCTAATTTGCATTACCTGCCTTGAGCCTGTAGGGTACTGTATTTATAGACATAACTTTATATTTGGGAAACTAAACAATATAGAATTTCCCCAGTGTTTGAGACATAATAATTCTTTACATTTGTCTAGTGATTACATCCTTGTGCATTATATCTAGCAGATATTGTTTTCAATTTTGATCAATGAAAACATTAAACTTTATATATTGCTGGGCACAGTGGCTCATGCCTGTAATCCCAGCACGTTGGGAGGCCAAGGTGGATGGATCACCTGAGGTCAGGAGTTCAAGACCAGCTTGACCAACATGGTGTAGCCCTGTCTCTACTAAATTAAAAAAATTAGCTTGGTGTGGTGGCACATGCCTGTAATCCCAGCTACTTGGGAGGCTGAGGCAGGAGAATCTCTTGAACCTGGGAGGTGGAGGTTGCAGTGAGCCAAGGTTGTGCCATTGCAGTCCAGACTGGGCAACAAAAGCAAAACTCCATCTCAAACACACAAACAAAAACTTTATGTATTATATTTAAATAGAGCACCAACTATAGCTGTGCATAGTCTATGTGTTTATGCACTAATTTTCATGACATATCTTAGAATGGTAGTATTTTTGCTACTGTTTTATAGTTGACAGGCACAGAGGCTGGTGACTCCAGTTCAATTCCTCAAACCTTCAAGCACACATTAATTTTCATTTTAATCACCATTTAAATTGTGCCATTCTTTTGTTTTGTTTTGTTTTGTTTTTTTGAGACGGGGTCTTGCTCTGTCACCCAGGCTGGAGTGCAGTGGCACGGTCTCGGCTCACTGCAACCTCTACCTCACGGGTTCAAGCAATTCTGCCTCAGCCTCCCAAGTAGTTGGGATTACAGGTGCCCGCCACCATGCTCGGCTAATTTTTGTATTTTTAGTAGAGACGGGGTTTCACCATGTTAGCCAGGCTGGTCCTCACGTGATCTGCCTGCCTCGGCCTCCCAAAGTGCTGGGAATACAGGTGTGAGCCACCGTGCCCAGCCTATATTATGCCATTCTGAGTTTGTATGTTAACAGAAAGAGAGTACACTGCTTTATGTAAAAAACTGACAGGTGATTGCCTTTTGCTTCACTCTTTGTTGAGTGATTCTGCTGCTACTTACTTAAAGTAGAAAGTGGTGATACTGGAAGGATAAAAGGGACTGTTAAAATTGTCTTTGCAATAATTTATTATTTTTGTTCTTTATAAGCCACCTAGGTCCCCTGAGCCTCTGAGTTTTTCTATAAGGGATGGAAGAAGACTTGTTTTAAAAAAATAATTGAAAGATTAACTTGCTTAATTAATTTCCTTTAAAAGTAAAGAACTATGCAAATAGAATAAAGAATACTGCTCAGAAGCCACACATGAAAAATAAAGAAGTGAGTCCATTATTCATAGAATTTTCTATGAGTTCTTTTTCTCTGGCATCTAAAAGTGAGGCTGGACTTTTGCCTTTTTTCCCTCTGAATTCTAAAAGAGGCTAAGGCTGCTTGCAGGATTTAAACATTTTTTCTCTCCTAGATTTCTTTCTTCCCAGGTCATTTTACAGGCTCTTGGATGTTGCTTGCCAGAGTCAAAACCTGCCTGTGTTGTTGCTGAGGGCATTTATTTTGAAGTGGGCTATTTCTAGGAATGCATGTAGGAGTCTTCAAGAAAAATTCATTTCTGTTTTTTTTTAACTTATTTTTTATTATACCTTAATTTCTAGGGTACATGTGCACAATGTGCGGGTTTGTTACATATGTATACATGTAAAAAATAAAAAGAAAGAAAAATTCATTTCTGTTTTCTGACCTAGAACCCCCTGCCCATTATCCCAGCCAACCTTTTCCACTCAGACAAAAAGGCTAGGAAAATCACAGTCCTCAATTTTAGGATTCTACTCTTTGAAGACCCAAGTCTGGTACCATGTTTCACAAACATACTGTGTCCTTAGATTTGGATGAGAACCCTTTCTGTTACTTCATTCGTTTGTTCCTTCATTCTTCTTTCCTAATTCAACTTCTCTCCTAGTTCAGACTCTTAAAGGATTATGAACTTCTCCCTTGCAGGACTTACTGCAATTATAGTGTTACATTTATTTTTAATTCTTCTGCTTTTATCTCTGGCATTTTAACTCAATGATGGTAGGGACTTTTGTTCTTTTATGGTTTGTCACTGAAACCCTAGTGTCTTACAAAATGATGATTACATATCTGTTGAGTGAAAACGTGGTAAGCAGCTTGTGTTGTCCATTTTTATGGCTCTTTGTTTTGCTCAGAAAAAAATCTGAACTTTCTGCAGTGACCTAAGAGGCCCTGGATAATCCTGCCTCCAGTCACCTCCCTGACTTCACCTCCTGCTGCTTTCCCTCTTGGCTGTTTCACTCCAGCCTGGGCCTGGGTTCTCCCATGGTTTAAGGAAACAGATATATTCTCTTCATTCAAGACACTGAAAACAATTTCATCTTCTTACATTGATATATTGACATTGATAGTCAAATAGGAGATGAAAGTAGAGAGAGAGAAAGTGTGCTACTAAAGAATGAACATGGAATTTTAGAATTGGGCCAGAATTCAAATTATGGTCCAGCCACTTGCTAGGTGTTAGACCTTGGGCAAGTTTCAAAATTTTTCTGGGTCTCTTCTCCCAGTCTTTAAGATGGGAATGATAATACTGTTGTTGCAGAAATGTTGTGAGGATTGGACATAAAGTGGCAAAATTACTGACATATAGAAGTTAATTGATAGTAATTATTATCACATGTTCATCGTAATTGTATGAATCGGCTATTGCTGTGTGGAAAGATACCCACAGGAACTCAGGGCTTAAATAGTAGCATTTTCTTTTTCTGCAGGCCTCTGTGGGTTGACTGGGGGCACCTCAGCTGATCTCAGCTGGCTCACTTATACAACTAGGAGTGTGCTGATCTTGGCTGGGAGTTTCTGCTCTGAGTCGTGGGGCCAGTTAGCTGAGGTCTGGGTCTGCTCCTTGTGTCTCATTCTCTGGCCTAGGTAGAAGGGCATTAGCTATCCAAATGGAGCTCTTCTCATGGCAATGGCAGAGGAGCAATAGGGGAAAAATAATACAAGAGACCTCTTAAGACCTAGGCTTGAAACTGGCACAATGTACCTATCCCTATAATCCATTGACCAAAAAAAAGTCATATGTGCGAGTCCAATGTTCAGAGGTGGGGCATTACATTTTCTTTTGTTAGATAAACTACAAAGGTATCTGGCAAAAGATAAGAATACAGGAAGAGCTGAAGGACTGGGACCAATAATGTAATCCACCATAGTTAGTATTATAGAAAATTAGATACATAGTCAGGAAATGTGGGCTCTTCTGCCTTTACCACAAATTGTGCGGCCTTGGGAAGCTCCTCCTGTAAGCCTTGGTTTCAACATCTGTAGAATGATGAGATTCTGCTACTAGATATATGGCCAATGGGCTTGGTCTTGAGACTTGAGTCCTAGTATGGAGCGACTGGGAATAGTCACCTTGCATTCTTTAAGGACAAATACGGTTCTGAGCTTGATTGATTATGTCTAGCTTGGGCACTAGGGAAGGGAGTGGTGGCACAGATGATGTGTATGTATTATTCTGTGACTAGATGATTTCTTTAGTCCTTTTCCACTCTTTAATCATTCATTTCGTTATTTTTCAAGTTTTATTCCATTTTGAAAATTAACAAAGGGAACATTCTTAGGCTGAGGACACTTTGTACTTTCGAAAAGACTTTATTCATAACTGACTATGAGCTGTAAATAATCTGAAGTAGCATTCTAGTGATATTGTCATAAATTAATTACTAAAGTTTTGGGAATTAGCTTAGTGACATGTTTTAAATAATTTGCCCCCCTGGAAGTATCTTTCCCCTAATAGGTTTACAGCTCCTCTTAGATTTACAGTAATTCCTTCATTTTTCTCTTATCTCCATTATTTATGTAAGCCATATTCCCACTGAGGATACTTACTTTTGCAACTGCAGTGTTGGATGGAATATAGTGATTCTGGCGGCGGTTTTCAGGATTTGAAACAAATCCATATTTTTATTTAGTTTCTGTACTACATGAAAAATTGGAACACAGGTCTAGATGATTTTTTTTGTATTGCTGCCTATATTGATAAGGTTATATTTAGGTGACTCTGATTGTAGGAGTATAAAATAATTTATCCTTAAAGCAAAGACATAGTTAACCGACTTCTAAATGTATAACTATTTCATTAATTCCAGAAAATACTTAATTTCAACTTTATTAAAAAATTTTTCCATGATGAATACACTCTCTCACAGTTGTGCTGCTAAGTTTGCAATGATACATTTTCAACTTTTTAAACAAATGTTTGGCTGTAAGAATCCTAGAAATAAATCAGCAAAATTGTCCAGTTAGGGTCCAATTGTCTTATTGTTAAGATCAATGTTGGGTAAGTTGATTCTTTGATGATAAATATTGATTGAGTGCTTACTGAGTTCAAGCATCATGATAAGGGTCATTCATGGATTATCTCATTTAATTCACATAACACTTTATATGGTGGGTAGGCCAACTGAACTTATAAGTAGATAGAGATTTGGAGAGGTTAAGTAACTTCTTTGGCTAGACAGTCAGCTATTGATAGAGTTAAGACTTGAACACAGCCTCCAGTCATCCCCAGAGACCTAGCTCTAGATCCTGAATGGTACTGTACATGCTGCTGTACTGTATCTAAGATAAGGTTAAGCCTGATGATATTAGTTTATCCTGGCAAGTATTATAGTATCACATAAGGCATATTGATTTTTTAAAAAACCAAGTATGTACCTCTTGCATCAGAAGTTGTTAGAAATATGCAAGCACTGTGTTTAATATTTGAATACAGCTTTTGCTTCATTCATTATCTTAGTGTGATATCTATGAAAAACTGTTTTAATATTGAAAGTAGTTGAGCTTTATCTGCTCAACTGTTCTCATCCCCATGAGGGTAGGCAAGCTACAGATGCTACACATATTATCTTTATAAAGCACCGACAGTGAGAGCAGTTTTTCTTTCTTTAGACAAGTCTAGGATCTTATGTGGCGACAATAGCACATCTTTCAGCTTAGGAAACTTTTATACAGATTCTAAATATCCTTCTTCAGATGTTGACATAGACCCACATACCTGGCCCCAGATATGAAATAATTCTGGAACAACCTTCCAGTTGAAATAAAGCTCACATAAAATATGAGAAAAATGCATAAATTCAAGAAGGGGCTCACCACAAAGGGATGGCATAGCAGCCAACTGAATTTTCACAGAAGGGAAAGTTTATTTTATATGGGTAGCAGCCACTTTTAATGAAGATGGGAAGCCCTCATCTCTGAAATGAACCAGAATTAATGGGATCTATTCTTTCTTTTGGAAATGCCACATAATTTCACTGGATCCAGCTGTCAAGGAGAAACACCCTTCTCTGTTAACAGCTGAGTGGATTGGTTACACTATTTGGCTATAAGGAATAGAGACTCAAGTTATTGTAAGTAATGAAGGGGAGGGATATATTGGCAATATTTACATCTATGGAACCCAGGAGCACAACAACCTGACCTGAAGAAGACACCTGCCAATATAATCACCCAATAGACACAACAACTTTTGCCATTAAAAGTAATGGCAAAAATCACAATTACTTTTGCACCAACCTAATAGGTATGATAGCTGTAGAGACTTCAGAAATTTTAGAAGCTTCTGACTCCATCACTCTCCTACGAGAGAGGGAGACTCAATCACTGCAAGGGCCTTCCAGATTATGCGAATGGATGAAGTTGGCCACATGCTTGTAAGGGATGATGCTTACAGCTGCAGTAACCATCTTCTGAGCAAGAGGAGGAACCCAAGCTTAATTGTAGAGAAATCAACCCAGAGCCTAGACATCATGGAATCATGAAGGTAACAAACCCCAGAACTGCCTGTTTCCTTTCTTCCTGCTTTATGAAATGTAAGTGCTGTTAGTTGAGTACTCTGTTTCTGACAAGTGGAAACATTCTTATACTCCCTCTGCAAATCATTAATATTAAATAATATAATATCTATGATTATAAGAATGTATTGGGGAAAATAGACATATGTGGGGTTCATGAATATTGAAGACGGGCTTATGGCAGGGCTGTCATGTATAGTTGGAGGGATATTTTCAAATTAGAAAAAATTTGTGGGTAAGTAGTAGGTAAATATATTCATGGGGTACATGAGATATTTTGATATGGGCATACAATGCATAATAATCACATCAGGATAAATGAGGCATCTATCACCACAAACATTTATTCTTTGTGTTACAAATAATCCAATTATACCCTTTAATTATTTTCAAATATATAATATATTATTGTCAACTGTTGTTATTCTGTTGTACTATCAAACACTAGATCTTATTCATTCTCCCTTTCCATATTTTTGTACACATCAACTATCCCTAGTTTCCCCTTCTCCCCCTACTAGCCTTCCCAGCCTCCGGTAATCATCATTCTACTCTCTATCTCCATTAAATCAATTGTTTTAATTTTTTCAGCTCCCACAAATAAATGAGAATATGTGAAGTTTGTCTTTCTTTGCCTGGCTTATTTCATTTAACATAATAACCTCCCATTCCATTGATGTTGCTGCAAATGACAAAATCTCATTCTTTTTAATGGCTGAATAGTACTCTATTGTGCGTATGTACCACATTTTAAAAAATCTATTCATCTGTTGATGTACACTGAGGTTTCTCTCAAATCTTGGCTATTGTGAATAATGGTGCAATTAACATGGATGTGCAGATATCTCTTTGATATACTGGTTTCTTTTCTTTGGGGCATATACCTAGCAGTGGGATTACTGAATCATACGGAAGTTCTATTTTTAGTTTTTTGTGGAACCCCTGAACTGTTCTCCATAGTGATTGCACAAATTTACATTATAGCTGGGCACATTTTTTACTGCACATTTCTAGGGGGATACCAATCATAGCCTACAATGTATAACTATATGCAGTGGCTTTGGCTTAATTACTCATTTTCTCTAAGACTGCTGAAGTTCATAGAAATTTCCTTTTTTACAACTCATAGGCTATTAAAAGGAAATAAACTCTAAATCTTTGCCTACGGTGTCTAGAGTGTCTATTGAAGAAAGGCTTTTCTCCTTGGGGAGCAGCTCTTGCTCAGCCACCAGGTGTCTATGTGACAGGCAGAATGATTTCAGTGCCTCTCATTGTATGAGGATTGTGGGCTGCAGATGAAGAATTATGGTAGCTGTCTATCAATCAAGTGTGTGGGTTTTTTTAATCCCTGAAGAAAAGAGAGTGATTATTTGTTTGTTTTCCAACACTGAAGAGGAGAAGAAATGTCATTTGTGTTGCTTGGCACACATGAATTCTGCATCTCAGTAATGGAACCTGGACAGAATTGTACTACTATCAGGCCTGGGGAAATGGTAGCCCTGATAGGTTACTTGGAGTTGGAGGGAATATTTCCCAATTGAGGCTGGTAGTGGAGCACAAGCAAAGGAGGTGTACAGATGTTAATTTCTACGACTGGAGAGAGGAAAGTTTCCCTCTGTCCCTCTCACTTGTCTGGCAACACAGAAATTGACTGCCATCATAACAGAAGCTCTGTCCTTTTTAGGTGGTGAGGGGAAGGAGCAGGGAGAGAACATTTTCTGCATATTTTTTTTCCACCCTCAAATGGCTTTCATCCCGCTCTGAATAAACTCCCAAAGATGTTGTTCATGATTATGCGTTTATCCTGCTTTGTAGAGAAAGGGGAACAGTAATACTCAGATACTCCCATAAATGGCTGTTCTGTGGGAGTGGTGTGGATAAGAATGTGGACTCTGGAGCTAGATGTCCTGGCTCACATCTCCAATTACTAGTTTTGTGACTTTGTGCAGGTTACATAACCTCTCTGGGCCTTAGTTTTCTTGCCTGTAAAAATGGTGTATCGTAGTTTATTCCCTCAGAAACAGACTCTGAAACAAGAATTCAACTATAAATAGTTCCTTTGGAAGGTGATGCCAGGAAACATAGATTGGGAAGTGAGGAATTACAGTAGGGAAGAAGAAAAAACCATTGAAGGATGTATTAGTAAAGCAGTTACCACTGTGAGGATGTGGGTACTCAAGAGAGTATAGAAGAGCCCCTGAGCAATGTATCACCCTCAGACTCTTTGAAGGCTGCATATGGGCCATTTATGCTATGGCACTTGCCACTTGTCCTGTGTTTGCATCCAATGTGCTCATAAGGCGAGGAAATAGAAGCCCTCAGGGTGTAGAAGTGAATGCTGAGGGGATTTGGCTGGGGATTTGGGCTGGGCACCACCATCGTCTGCTATGGCACGTAATGATACTTCACTGAGTTATTGAGAAGATTAAATGAGTTTGCTGATAGGAATGTGTACAAAAGTACCTGACATATAGTAAGCCCTACCTTTGTGCTGGCTGCCTTTCCTATTGTCCTCAGCAGAGCCTTATGGGTAAGAGCCTCGATCCCAGATAGGGCTGGATTCAAGTTCTGGCTCTGCCACTTACTATTTAAGAGGCCAGATTTTCAGCTTCTAAAGCAAGGGTCAGCCATTGACTAACTTTTCCTGTAAAAGTCCAGAGAATAATTATATGTCATCTTAGCCAGCCCTGCTATCGTGACTGCTCAACTTAGCTTTTTAGTGTGAAAGCAACCAAAGACAATAAGTAAATGAATGGTTGTGGCTGCTTTCCAGTAAAACTTGATTTGCTAAAACAGGTGGTGGGCTGGATTTGACCCACCAGCCACTGTTTGGCCCATAAGCCAAAGTATCTTTTCCTACAGCTGCATAATGTGAGAACAAACAGTGTTTACTTCTCAGCACACATACTAAAAGTACAGTCTATGTCAACCTGCCTGGTATTGTATCTCAGCTTGATGACTTTCTACTTTGGCAACTATATGCACACATTTATTATTGTTAACCATCAGTTTTCTCATCTAAAATAGGGATGATAAATATACCTGGCTCGTAGGGTTGTTGGAGGAGATGGACTGCATAGGCTAATCCATATGCTAGGCTTAGAGTATGTGGATTACAGAAGAAGTGAATAAATGTTTCTATTATATTCATTTCAATTTCTACTATTATTGTGCTTTCTTCCTGGCAGAACTCACTGCAATTCTATTGGAGAAAAGACAACAGAATAGTTCTTAAGATTCTTACTAAGAATCAGATCTGGCAGAGATATTTACTAGTTAAAATTGAATAACCTATTAGAACTGCATGGATTCGGATCAGTGGTTATTAACCAGGGGCAATTTTGCCACCTAGGGGATATTTGACAAAGTCTAGGAGGTTCTTTGGATTGTCCTAACTAGGGAAGAGTGGGCTACTGGCATGTCATGGGTAGAGGTCAGTAAAATCTAAAAATCCTTTAATACAGGACAGTTCTGTACAATAAAGGCTTACCTGGCTCGAAATGACATTAGTTTTCAGGTTAAGAAACTCTCGTTTAGATTGTATATATCACTTCTGAACTTTTACCCTCTAATATATGGCACTGTTTATATCATAGTATTTCACATGATTTGCAAATTATCATCATGATTTCTCTGACTCACAGGCTTTGAAAAGATGTATGGAAATATTTTGTCAAGATAAGTCAATTTAGGTGAGAAGTGTTTTTTTTTAACAACACTATCGTTTAAAAAATACACCAGGTAGCTAGCTGACAAAACTACATAATTAATTTTCTTCTAAAATAATTTTAAATGTTGGAGAGTCTTTTTAAGAATACAAATGACATTCTTTGCATTCTATAATTTCTATGAATATAGGACAATTTGAGAAGATAAAGGACAGACTCCAGAATTCCTCATCTTTGTTGTAATTTAAGGAAGTCTTTTTTTCCATAAATTACTAAGGTGTCTCTGTCAATGAAAAGTGTGCAAAGCTATTATTTACACCTGTTTGACTCTCAATATTATGATTTCATGATTTTTGAAATGGAATATCCCCATTCAAAATGCTTTCTGTACTGAATTTCACCACACTGGAGTGATTGTTAATAGCTCTTTGCTGTCAAGAAACCACCATGACCTCTTCTTTCTCTTATTTTCTAAGTATTGAGATCTTCTCTCAACTTGACAGATGAATTTGCTAGAGAATTTTTATTAAACAATGGCCCTAAACAGGCCATCTCCATCAAACCATCCCTTCTCAATGGCACTCTTTTTTGTTTTGGTACTCAAATTTCACCTAGATATCCCCAGGTTCCTGTGACTACTCTGAGTCCTCCAATGTCCTCACAATGTTTTTAAATCCTCCTCTAACCCACGTGGAACTTTGGACTCATTAAAGAAAGAAATCCTCTGAGAAGATACATCTCATAAATTAGGACACAGAACTCTGATTGGGAGCTCTTGATCAGCGAACAACTTACACTCTTACTTGGCATTTCTGAAAGTTTTATACTGAAGCTAGGTATGTCCCCTGGCTTTACATCCTATTTGGACATCTTCATTCACTTTATTTGTTATTTCATTTGTTCATTTCTTCACTCACCAGCAAATATTTATTGTTTCCATTATGTGCCTGGCACGATATTGAATAAGACAACATCCTCTATCTGACTCACTTATGAATATTGTGTCTAGTGTTAAAGGATAATTTTCAAAAAGGTAAAATCATGACTCCCACAAATACAACATGAACACATGTCAAAGATTTATGTGACTTACTAATTAATAAGGGGAACAGGAAGAGTTTATAATTGGTTCAAATTAGAACTGGATTTACAAAGATTTATAATCTCTACTGGACAATATTCATTTTCACTGCCACAAGCAGGAATAATTTGCCTTGCATTGGACAGGAAATGTTTACTTCACTGACACCATCAGCAATTTAACTTCTTTCTCCTGAAAGACAATCAAAAGTGTGTGGGTACCCAGTGAAATCAGATTACCCCTGGAGTATCTGTTAAACTTCATCCAGCATTCTATAGCAGTCATTTCTGGTCCATTTCAAAGTCTTCACGACTTTTTCTAACACTAGCACAGACAATTTTCAAATATGAACATTGCAGATATGATGAGTCCAATGGCAGAAATAAAGTAGTGTGTTGGGAAACAGAGTAGTTGGTGGGGGTGGGGACTTCTTTAGATGGAGGAGCCAAGGAGAACTCCCCTGATGATTTTTTAATTTTACTCCCCATAGGTTGCCTATTTAAATCTTAACAGATGTGATAAAGACCTTAATCTACATGTGACAAATGTTGGCATTTAAGCCATGAGCATGAACTACCTGTAGAGTCTGATGGTACTTTTTCTAGTAGGAATGGAAACAAAATCAGGTCTACCTACTAGATACTCTCTTTACATTTCTCCTCCAAAACCTTGACATCTGTATTTTAATGTATCTATTTACTTTTATGCATGCTATGGAATCTGCCTCTGCTCTTCATTTTGATAACATTGCATTTCACAGTAATTTGTGGGATGTAGAGACACTCAAACGGCAAATTAAGCTTCCAGCAAAGCAGAGCCACAAAAAAATGAGAAATCGGTTCCTTGGAAAATAATTTTAGATTTTATTTTATTATTTTTTAGAGATAGGGTCTCGCTCTGTCACCTAGGCTGAAGTGTAGTGATGCAATCATAGCTCACTGCAGCCTTGAACTTCCGGGCTCAAGCCATCCTCCTGCCTCAGCCTCCCAAGTAGCTCAGACTATAAGCAAGCACCATCTCACTTGGCTAATTTTTAAATTTTTTTGTAGAGATGAGGTCTTACTATATTGCCCAGGCTGATCTTGAACTTCCAGCCTCAAGTGATCCTCCTACCTTGGCTTCTCAAAGCACTGGGATTACAAGCATGAGCCACCATGACTGACCTACTTTTACATTTTAAAAAGTATCAAAATAGCCATCAGAGAAATCACAAGTTTTCTGGACTCCCCTTCACAGATATGAAGTTTTAATTTTTATGTGCACTAGCAATTGGCAAACTATGTTGCTATAGTTTGGATGCTTGTCCCTTCCAAATTTCACATTGAAATGTGATCCCCAGTGTTGGAAGATGAGGCCTAGTGGGAGGGGCTTGGGTCATGGAGATGGACCTCTTGTGAGTAGATGAATGTCTTCCCTTTGGGAGCCAGGGGTCAGGGGAGTAGGGAGGGTAGTGAGTGAGTTCCCACTCTATTAGTTCCCACCATAGCTGGCTGTTAAAAGGAGCCTGGCACCTCCCCTCCTCTCTCTCCATGTGATCTGTTCACTCCAGCTCCCCTTCACCTTCTGTTGTGAGTGGAAGCAGCCTGAGGCCCTTATTAGATGCCCAATCTTCTAGGCAACATAACTACAAGCCAAATAAACCTTTTTTCTTTATAAATTACCCAGCCTTAGCTATTCCTTTATAGCAATACAAAATAGACTAAGAAGACATGTGGCCTGTGGACCAAATCTGATGTGCTGTTTTTGTGAATAAAGTTTTCTTGAGACACAGGTACACTCATTCATTACATATTGTCCATGGCTGCTTTCACACTACAACAGCAGAGGTGAATAGTCATAGCACATACTGTATGGCCTGCAAGGCCTAAACTGTTTACTATCTGGTGCTTTACAGGCAAAGCTTTGCCAACCTCTGAGTTTAATTGATTGGGGTTAATATTATTCATTCATTTGTTTATTCATCTATTTAACAGACAGTTAACAAGTAGCTACCATTTGCCAGACACTATTTTAAGATCTAAGGTTATAGCACTAGTTACATTATTAGACAAGTTTATGATCCTCAATTTCTTAATCTAGTACTACGTATGTTTGTCTTTTATTTATTTGGGGTAGACTATGCTCTGAAGTTTTTATAATGAGATATGTACCTCTATGCCTTGGTTTAGGGTCTCCCACAAGCAGACCTTCAGGCAGTTGTTTTGGTGGAGGCATCTTATTTGGATGGTAAGAAAACATGAACAGGAGTGGGGAAGTATGAAAGGAAAGGGAAGGCAGTCAAAAAAGAGTTAATTACCAAGCCACCTGCCATAGTGCGTGATAGAAACTTAATCCCCTGAAGAAACTCTGGGAAATCTGTAAAGCACACAACTCAGAAACACCTCACCTAAGGGCTGAGGAGCAGAGGAATTTATAATCCAACTCTTAAGTGTCATCGGTAGATACTCATGTGTGTGTATGTATGCGGGGGGCAAGAGGTGGGATGGTTTGATTCTTTGTTTGCCTTGTATGGTGAATGCCTCCATATCAATAAACTCCATTACCCAGCACTATATTTTGCTCCCTTCCCCTACCCCAAGGGTACAGAACTCTCAAAGTTCACTGCCACACCTGTTTTCCTAGTTTCGGTAGCTACCTATTAACCAGAACTTGAAACACAGTTATTAAATAATTCTTTACTTCTTGAAGCAGAGTAAGTGCTTCCTTACTCAAGCCATATTAGAACGTGGGGACAGATCTTGAGGAAGGCAAGTATCATCTCCCAAGGCTGCCTCCTAGGTGAAGCTTCTGCTTGGTCTCCCAGCAAGGAAAGGATGCTATATTCTAAGAATAAGATGTAGATAACTTCTGAAGTCTCAGAGGGTTAAGGAGAATCTGAGAGTTCAAGAGTCTGGAGTGCATTTACACAGATGTCCCTTTCCCTGGACATATCTCAGGGTTTTCCATCTTCTTTATCTATGCTCTGCCTTAGAATGTTGGCTGGGGCTGTTGCTTCAACACTCTAGACAGTTCTCTCACATCAGGTCCTAGCCCCGATTTTCAGCCTGATCTTTTCTCTGCCTGCAGAAGATGAGAGTCTCTTTAAATGATGCCGGAGAGGCCTCTGGCTTTCCATACTGAACCCTGGGTTGGTGTTCAGCTCACTTGAGCCTGTCATTTTCTTCTTTCAGCTCATTGATGGTACTTGGTCCAACTATCCAATTCCATAATCTTTCCAATGGCCAATGCCACCCTATCTCTCAAGTGCTAGAGAAATTGCATAAGCTAGTGCATCCTCTTCCAGCTGTGCCCCATCCCAATTCAATCTTAGGTAAGAGTCTCAGCAGTTATGATTTCATAGCACACCATTCCACTCGTGACTAGCAATGGTAATTTTGTTGCCATTTTGCTAGTTTCTAGCTGCAAAGACCAATTCTAGAGATCTGTTTCCTAGGACCACTTTGAGTTCCAACCTGAGTTCTCAGGTTTTAGTACTGAAAGTCCCACATCCTGAAAAGCTACAAGTTCTAGGCAAATTTGAAATGCTTTTCCTGGGACTGTCTTGGTTTTAAAATTGCAAGTCCCATGTCCCAGGAACACCCTCTGTCCTTACCAAACCAGATGGGTGGTCACCCAAGTTTCAACTGTGTAATTACTCCAGAATTAGATCCTGAGGTAGATCCAGGTTTATTTTGGAGATGCAAAACGCTTTAATATGATACAGTGAAGATAAGACAGCCAATCAATAAAAGAAACATTATTAAGCCAGATATCCCAGTGAGCAACCAGAGCTTAATCCCATGGGAAACTCCAGGAAATAGGGCAAAACACATGCTTCAGAAATTTCCCAGTAGAGAAGCAAGGGTGTGGGAGATTTACATGCCAATTTCTGAGAGTCATTGGCAAAGGGCTACTCCTAGAGGGTTTTAAATTCCAGGCACTTTCAGCCTGCTGGCCACGAATAGTATGGTTTGATTGTAGTTCCAAGAAAAAAAGCAAATTCTGGCTTAAGTATGCAGACATTGGCAGCAGGAATTTGGTGGGAGACTCTGAGGGGTCTGGATGAGACGAGTAGGGAAAATTAGCATTTGTTACTGCTCACCCCTTGCAATACCCAGATCCATTTGTGACCCCTGTTAAGTTGACATCATCATAGTAAGGGAGTGGCTGACTGGTCACGACTTATTACAGGAGTTTTTATGGGAAAAGCTACAATTCTGCCCATCATCTCTCTTCTCTAACACACGTTTTAGGTTCCTCTGCCCTTGGCCAGCAATTTGATTTCCCCAGTGAGGGCAGAGCATCCTCTCCTGAACCTGAATCAATGTATATTTCACCCTCTTGAATTGGGAGCTAGGAATAGAAACTCATAGTTTGTAGATTTGGCAGTGTGATAATTCAAATGCTGTCTAATGGTCCATAGTTAGAGATATTTCAGTTATCTATGTTATGGGGCCGAATCTCATCACTTGAAACAGAACTCCTGTATTCACCCAAGGCCAGCTCGTTCTCATCAGTGTTGAAAAGAGGTGATCCTGTGTATTTTCTTCATCCCTCTATTGCACATCACATTAATCATTTTACTGCATTAATGAGACAATATCAATTCCAATGCTTCATTTAAATATGGAACTTCATCTCAGGAAATGTGCTAAGGTGGAAGCAATCTGCTTCCTTTCCCTTTTTATACATTAGAAACAATTTTTAATTGTAATTTTATAACTTGGTCATTGCAGTGTGTGATATGCAAAATAAGGGCTCTCCCTAAAGATGTGCGTATCCCAATCCACAGAACCTGTGAATGGGTTACCTTACACAGCAAAAGGGACTTTGCAGGTGTTTTTAAATTAAGGATCTTGGTATGGGAAGATTATCCTGGACTACCTGAGTGGATTCAATGTAATTACAAGAATTCTTGTAAGTGAAAGATACAGCCTCCAGTGAGAGTCAGAGAAGGAAATGTGACGACAGAAGCAGTGGGTGGAGTGGCACAATGGTTGGTTTGAAGACAGAGGAAGTGGTCATGAACCAAGTGATGTGGGTGGCTTCTAGAAGCTAGAGAAGGCAAACAATGGATTCTCCCCTAGAACCTTCAGAAGGAGTGCAGCCCTGCTGACACCTTAATTTAAGACACCTGAAATGCATTTCAGACTTCTGATCTCACTGCAAGGTAATACATTTTTGTATTTTAAACCACTAAGTTCATGGTAGTTTGCTACTGCAGCAATAAGAAACTAATCACAGGTGTAAAGGATGACAATCATCTTTGCAGCTGAAGTGGAAGCAGTGATGTCTCTACTTCTGCTGGAACTATAGTATAGATGCTAATAATCTAGTTAGTGAAATCAAGTTCACAGCTCTATCACTTACTCGCTATGTGGCCTTGAGAAAGTTATGCAACAACTTTAAGGCTTGGTTTCCTCATCTGTAAGATGGGGGAAATAAGGATTTGTATCTTATATTGTTGTTATAAGCATTGAGCAAGATAATTTAGAAAATGCATTTAAGAGAGTTCCCAGTACATAATAACAGCTCAAAAACATTGACTATTATTGCAACATAACAATAATGATCTTTATTTTGTGATGATCTCAGTTTATAAGGTGTTCTCACATATGGGTGTTTAAGCTTGAATCAATTCTGTAAGATCATTTTCCCCTTCTCTCCCTTACCATTTCCCAGATAGACACATAGAGTCCTGGGGAGGATAATGAATGTTCACAAGATCTCTGAGTTATTAATAGACATAGCTGAGATTGACTTCTCAGTTCTTCACTGCTGAGTCAATTTTGAAAATATAATAAGTTTCTAAATTCCAGAGGTAAAGAAAAAAATGTTCTTAAAACGATACACAAAGCCACACACATTTAGTAATGTCTCTCAGAAAACAACTGGCTGCTGCTTGTTGAACAGAGTTGTATACTGATACCTGTTTTCAGACGTGTAAAAGCTATAGTTTTATTATTTTTAAATGAATAGTCCATAGAAAAAGGCTTGTATAACGTTTTCTATGGCTGCTGTATCTTTGGGTTCAGTCCATAACTATTTACAAAGATGAGCTCTGGTGGCAAGGCAAAAAAGGGTTGTAAATTGGGAGGTTTCAGGATCAGAAGCCACCCAGTGATTGCTGAAGATGAGACCAAATTGTGGAGATATTTGCTATTATATATAAAATTCCCACATGATAATGAGTAATAAGTTATTTTTTCTATCACTTTCATGGTATAAATGATATCAAAGCACTTCTTTACTGCCTCTTCAAACTTTCTCCAGGAGCTGAGAAGACATATTGGAGAAAATTTGTGTGAACAGCCTGGAGAAGAAGACCATACAATTGGAGGACTATGACTTATATGTCATTTATAATAATAGTAGCAATAGCAAATGCTCGTTGGGTGCATGGAAAGTGCCAGGCACAGCACTAATCACACACTAATCACACACACGCATGCACACACACACACACACCAGAAATGTTATATATATATGAAACATTTGTTCCTTATAACAACCCTGGAAAGTAGATTCTATTATTTGAATGCGTAGATGAGGAAACTGAGACAGAAAGGCTAAGTAACCTCCTCAAGGTCACAGAGTTAGTAAATGGCAGAGATGGGAATTGAGCTCAGGGAGCCAGGCTGCACAGCCTATATTCTACCTACTAATAAGCTACCCTGGAAGGAACAGTACCCATCTCTGAGAGAGCAGAACACAGGACAGGTGGGTTTTGAGAGCAAGAGGGGGAATGCTGGGTAGAGAGTGCAGATGCAGGTAAGGGACCACAGCAGTATCTTGACCTCTACAGTAAGAAAGGGGCACTCAGTGTGTGTCTGCACAATGACAGAGGGGCCTGGGATATAGGGAGCCAATAATGAATAGTCTTTATCTAGTCCACAGTTTAGCCAAGGGCCAGCCCTAGCTAAATGAATTAAAGAATCAGAGAAAATAAGATCTTTTGTAAAAGTGTGCTTGTTTGATTTACTGACTCATTTGGGAATTATTAACCCAAGTGCCAGGGTGGAATGAGCATAATTGTTTTTACTTAGAAGAGCACCTAAGCCTAAATTGCTGGGTGCAAATAAATCTATTCCTGGGAGGCAGCTGGGGAGCCCCCGCAGGCTTGTTCCTGGCCTCCTCCTCTGGGGGCTAGAGGAGCCAGCTAAGCACACGGCATTCTTTAGGCTGAAGTGAGAATTTACTCCTGAATGCTAAAGGGGCTTGCTCCATGTATAATCAAGGCTTACTGAAGGAAAAAAAAAACACACACACACGCACAAAAAACTGGGAAGGAAAATTTATTTTTGATGCCTCCATATTTTTCTCTGACTTATGTGCCTCATCACCTCAAAAGTCCACCATTGCAACTGTGTGTGTGTGTGTGTGTTTGTGTGTGTGTGTGTGTGTCTTTCAGAATCTCCTTTTTCCCTCTGGGGATGTCAACTTCCTAAATTGCCAGTGCCCTCACAATTTTTCACAATCCCTGTCTTCCTCAGCCTTCTCCTGTGGCACCACCTCCACACAGCAGCTTCAATTACATGGTTTCCATGGGTAGAAACAAGCAAAGGCAGACACTGGCCATAAAACTGACTGATGCAACTTCAAGTTAGCCTGGGGCAGATATTTTTAAAGAACATTGTTTTAGGCCATAACACTTTACCTTGACGGAGTGAAACTAGGCCGGTAGAATTTCAGGCAGAGAAGCGGACAGGTGTGTGGACTATTCTAGACCAGCAAATGAGATGGTGGGTCCTTCTCCAGAAATCCTTGCATCATGTTTTTACAGTAAGCTTCTTGTTTGCTTATGCATAACATTACTCTGGCCCCTGTGAATGTGGAGAAACTGGCCTCCATGTCTCTTGGGTCAGTCTCTGTTGAGCTGTGGGTCTTTGTCATGGATGTCACGTACATATACCTTAGAGAAAAGATAAAAGAGTTGGAGGGGTGGGCTTGAGAAAGGCTGTATAATTTTATTGAGCAATATTTCTTCTTTAAATGGGCTCATGGATAATTCAATTAGCTGGCTTTTGATTGCTCTTGTTAGTGGTTAGGCGCTATATAATGAAAATATGGATTTGTTCAAGTCTCACCATCACAAACCAGCTTGTCAGGATGGATGATTCAACAGATCCACAGTGGGTGTGACATAGGTTCAAGTGTGTACTGACCATATTCCTCTTTAGCGTGTGTGTACTCTCTTTCTTGCTGGCTCTCTCTGGATCTCTTTCTCAGCTTTGTTTGGAGATGGAGCTAACAGTTGTAGAAAATAAATATCTGCCTAAACCGAGTGGACAGCAGCCAATGAGAATACTGTGAAACTTCCCCGTGGAAAGCTCCATGACATGGCATATGCGAGTCTGTCTCTCTCATTGATGCTATATGCAGACGGTATATATCAGCTAGAAGACTTTGAAAAGGAGATTTATTAAGTGTCAGGTTGAGAGTTGTGTTTTCATCTTGATTATGAAAATGATATATAATTTTAAAAACAATTATGGTGCTTGATAAATTTCTCTGTTTGTATAAACTTCCCATTTCAGGAATTCTACATGTAATTCAGTCTGTGTGTCCTGAGAGAAGTCCTGAGAAAGGAGACCGAGTGCATTCAGCATGCTAGAATGATTTCTCCATGAGAACAGGTTAAAAGGCATAGTGGGAATCAGTGCAGGGATACAAGGTCTGAGTAGGAATGGCATATACATCCTCAGAATTAAAGAGGGTACAGGCAGGATGAAAATACACTTGTTTATCACATCACTGAAAGCTGGGAAGGGGGATTTGCTTGAAGCTTGAAAGCAGTGATTTAAGACCAGAATCACAGGTGCATTTTGCATAGGTCATAAGCACTATTGATCATGTGCAGTGTCTTGAAAGGGAAGTAGATTCCAAAAAAGAGCAGATATGTACATGAAGAATAAAACTGTAGTTGACGATTAAAGGTACATTATGAACACTCAAGAAATGTCTCTATTTTTGAGGATGAGGTCATCTTTCTCCACAAAACACCCTTCAGGAAAGGAGGGGGAGGTTGAACCACTGGTGCAGCATGGTTTCTCTCTTTTTGTGTGCCCTGAATATATCACATTTATCCCTCATCAAAGAGAAATTTTTCTTTTTATTGGGAAATGTAGAAGTGATACCTCAAACGATATGGTTTTTGTTTCCAAAGACATGGTAGGGGGTTCAATGCTTCCAAAAAACATATACTAGACATAAGTATGTGGTATTTTATTTTAGATGCTATCAGTTGATCTTTTGCTACTACATTTCTAACAGCCAAAACCTCTTAGTGACTATCACTTATTTTTTTCTTTAATAATCTTATTTTTGTGTAGACTAAGTAGTCTCAAACCAAGCTATTTCTGGGGTTGGGAGGAGGTAGGTAATATAGACTATCAAGGTGAATCAAGGGCACCGCAACAGGGGATGGTGAGGACTGCAGGAAACTGAAGCTCCTATGCTTTTGTTAAGGGAGACTTCTGCTACTCAGTTTCAACCAGTAGTTGCCATATGGGGCTTCAGGCCCAATATTGTGATCCTAGGCAAATCTTTCAAAGAGATGCCACAAACATGGTCAAATAAGCAAAGTTTTTTTGTCATTTAAAATAATGCGCAGGTCCTGAAAGACTAGTTCATGACTTCTGGAGAATAATTTATTCTTGGGAAAGTGAACACCAAACAAATAAACAGCAAGAACAAAGCATGAATGAAACAAAAAGCAGGTTCTTGACCAAACCAATGAAAATAAAATCAACAAGGAATTGTGACTTCCTATACATATGCATGACCCTAGGGTTTTTCCAATGGAAAAGTCTAAACCATAAGCTGAAATTCCTATTCTCTGCTAGCTGCACATCAAGAGTGGAGACAAATATTTCAGTTTGAAGTAGTAGGGGAGGATTCATAGAAGAGGTAATATTTGAATTATGAGTTGAAATTTGGATGTGGCTTGGTTAAGAGATAACCATAACGAAGAAGCAGTCCTCATGGGTTGAATGAAGGGAAGAAATGCTCCATGGTGGGGAAAGTTACCAATTCCTTTTCTGGGGAAATAGTGACACCAAAAGCTCTCAAAAGCAATTAGCTAAAAGCACTAGTTTTTGACAGTCTTCAGTGGCAGTCTTAAGTCTGAACTTTATCGTCTAACAGGTGGTTGCCAACTCAAATGCCCACAGGGGCCAGACAGGTAACCTAAAAAGAAAAATGATTTTGGAGAATGGGACACTGTATCCAGATTAAAAAAACAGGCTCAGCTCCAGTGGATCCTTGCCACGTAGAAATGCAGCACCAGCATTGCCTAAGAGAAGTTCGAAATCTGGGTTTTTATTTGCAAGTTAGAATTTTAAAATGTTGGCAGCAAATTCACATTAAAAAGGAAAAGTGTGAATCAAAGCTTATTTGAAATCCCATATGTAAAATAAACTCAGGGCTGCGGGTGATGAGGGCTGGGATTACCCAGGCCCCAGTCACTGAGCTACATACTTTCCCTTCTTGAGCTAACGGTGGGTCTCATCTTAGAGAACGTTTTAAATACTACTGCTACTGGTAATAAGAAACCATTAAAGATGCAATAAATTTGGCATGCACCATAATTATACATATGTTTTAGAAAAAAGTTTGCGCATGGACAAGAAGTATAAAATGAAAATAGTTTTTGAAAGTAAAAATATTTTTAAAAGGTTACATTTCATAATTATAATGTAAAATTTAAGTTAGGGAAACATTGATTAAAAATATCTTTCTAGAGTCTTGTGACTTTGCCACCAATAGAAATCTCAGGTATTTTTATACTGTTGAAATGCAGATGGCTTGAAAAATCACTTAGGGTTCTTACTACAGGTATTTTGAAATTACAGTCATTATTCAGACCTGCAGACCTGCAGTCAGATTATGTTCTTTAATGCATTAATAAAGAAGCATACATCTTATTATATCACACATTTTTAAAATGTTATTTCATTATAATTAGTTTTCTTTTTAATCCTTTATTTTAAAAGGGATGCATAGGCTTCACTGGACCACTAAAGGAGTCCATGGCACAAGGAAAGTTAGGAAGGCTGTTCGGAACCAGTGTAGCAGTAAATAAAAAGATTACCCACTCTGGCGATGCCAGAATTGCTTTTCTTTCCAAAGATTTCCTACCCCCAGGTAGGACTTTTTACCTTTCCAATGTGAGTTTCCTGTGGCTTACAGGAATTCAGCTGGAATCCTACATTACTCTGCAACAGAATAAAAAACAAAACTTAATAAGTTGACAACTTAAAGAAAAATAAATTCAAATATGTAAAAGCAAAATAGGGGAGAACCGGCAGAATGCTGCTGTGTAGCAAACCCAGGTGGAGAGGTAAAAACGTGATGAGGTGGGAAAGGAAGACGGCCAACGTGGATCACGTGAAAAACCAGCTGGGAGGACATTTTCTCCGAAAAAAGAAATGGGGATAGTTGATGAGGAGTCAGGAGGACTCTCTGGGCTCTTTTAGGAAAAATATCTTCTGAAGCATATTTTTTTTATTACCTGAACAGTGATGAAAGGACAAAGTTTCAGTTTCCTAGGGAAATGCACTGGCTGTGACCAAATTAGTCCAGAATTTGCTATTATTTAAATGCAGTTTCTTGTATTTATTAAAATGAAGTGACTGTCATATTAAAATTGAAAACGAGCAGTTGCACATGCAAATTATTTCTAAAGTTCAACTGCTGCTAAATGAGACGCGGTGCTCTTAAACTTAGAAATGCTTAACATAAATTATGACCTAATTAACATTTGCACGGTAATCCGGACTTCCTACAGCTTTTTCTGCTAATTAACACATGACAAATGAGCATACATTAATATTTTATTGTAACATCACTTGTCCAAGAAAGCTTCTTAACTCCTCAGAAAATATTTTGTGTTTTGTGTAATTTTTTTTGCCATTTTCTGCTTGAGAAGTATCCTATTGTGGTTTATGCCATTGTATAATATTAATGATAAAGTTGTCTTGTGTTGTAAATTTAATAAGATCAGCAAAGATGCAAGCTCTAGGAATCTTTTATCTTCATTTAAACTCTTTTCTTTATTCTTTCTAGGGAATATCAGCATTTTTGAGAAAAAAATAAACTAATTGCCTTGATATGTACATCTTAGCTAATTATCACTTTCCATGGTTGGTTGCCTCCTAGAGCTATGGGTTCATGAGTAAAGGTAGACCCATCAAGAAGAGCAAAATCATGTATAAGGCTATAGATTTTAAGCTTTGTAAGTGGTTTAATTTTGACTGTATATTCAGTTTGTGTCATCTGTTATCTAAATTGTAACAGCCCTCAAATTAGGGAGATCAGAACACTTCTACATCTACAACAGACAGAGAGCGACTAACTATGAATGTCTACTGTAACTTTAATTTTTATTGGGGCACAGCTTCTCAGTTTTGATTTGCTCTCCTGGTATATTGCAGGGGTTTTTGTTTGTTTTAATTTGTTTTACTTGGGATTTTCCAAGGATGACTGCAGAATACATTTTTATCTGATCACATAAATCAGAGTCTGTGATCTTTGAGGTCTGGGAGATTTTCTCAACTAGAAAGAGAGCATCTTGCTGTGACGGGCAATGTATTGGGTGTTTTGCAAGCACATTACAAGGGCACGTAATGAACGACTGATAGGGTCCCAGTGTCTTCCCCTTTATGTTTAAAGAAACCCTTGAGGTTATTGAGCACTTTCCTGATGAATGCTTGAATCCTATTCACAGCCTTCCAAACCTATTTCTATCAATGCCTTTTGACTTAGAACTCACAAGGGAGCCAGTGAAAGTGCTGGAGAGTACAAATTGTGAGTGGAGACATAGATGAATTTGTATATGTGTGTATATATACATAGGTAGATATAGAGACGACATATACATATGTGTGTATACATAGATGTTTGTGTGTATGTGTGTGTGTGTATATATATATATATATATATATATACACACACATTACCTATGCCTCTGTCTATTGATCAATCTATCTATCTCTTTATTTTTATTAGCTAAAAATTGAAAACAACCCAAATGTTCATTGACAGGTAGATAGAGAAATAAATTGTGATATATCCATACAATAGGATGCTCAGCAATAAAAACTAATGAACTATTGAAATGTGCAACAACATGGATAAATGTCAAAATCATTATGCCAGACAAAAATGTGTACATACTGTATGGTTTCACTTACATAAATGTGTAGAAAATACAAACAATAGTGATAGGAAGCAGATCAGTAGTTACTTGGGAGGGGGTTGGATAGAGATTATAAAGCAGCAGGCAGAAATTCTCTTGATTGTAGTGATGGTTTCACAGGTGAATGCATATATCAAAATTTATCAAATCATACATGAAATATTTACATTTTATTATATATCAATAAAGCCGTATGTGTCATATATGTATGTACACATTTCTGTGTTGGTGAGTGTATTGTTTGTTTACTCTTTTTTTTGCCAACAAAGTATTAGTTCCATGAGAGCAGATAAGTTTATCTTTGGTCCAGTGCTATATTCCAGCTTCTAGAATGTGCTTGGCACATAGTAGGAGCTTGATAAATATTTGGGAAATAAATAAATGCAAAGAAGGCATATACACCTCTCTGTAGATATATGTAAGCACTATGCTTCTGCTTTTAAATGTGTGTCTGTCTAAAGAACATCACCATCTTTTTCTCTATCTGAATGGTGCAGGAATGGTATATATCTCAGACAGTTCTGGAAAATATAAAATAATTTCAGGTTGCAAAGAACTGAGCAGTACCCAGGTTATACAGAATAACCAGGTAGAAGGAGAATTCAACTGTAGGTTGAGATACAGTAGATTAGCCAAATATTTCATGAGAGGAGCTGACCATGAAGACATAATTTCTGATTTTCACAAGAGAAAACCTTCAGGTGATTCTGGGAATTATGGTAAGATTATAAAAGGCATCAAGAGGCAACAAAAAGCTGAGGCAGGATAACCTGGGACTAAGATCTGCTGAATTCAGGACAGAGAGGAAGATATACAAAATAGCTGGGAAGAACGTGAGGAGGGAACTCTGGGGTTTTTATAAGCTGATGCCTCTATTTCTCTGTCAGGGTGGGAGAGTGACAGATTTCCATAAGGCACAGGGGTTTTTAGGGGCAATTAAATAAAAATAGTCAATGCTGTAAAGTCTTTGACATGGTATCAAGCAAGACGGCCAGCTCCATGTAGAATAACTCATAAACTTTCTCATTGGATTTGATTTTGGGTGACTGGCGTAGAGCCAGGCAGTAGGCTCTAACTGTGTCCATAATATTGGCCAGGATTCAAGTTGGAGTTCTACAATGAGATTAGTTTTCCTCAAATTAACCCCAAATCTACTTCCTTGTGACATCTACATTTTGGTCCTTGTTTTGAATTCCATGGCTATCCTAAATATGCCTAACGTAAGGATTTGCCTCTTTAATTGTCCCAGAGCATTTTTATGATCTTCTTAATCTTCTCCAGGTTAAACACTCCCATTCCTTCATCATTTTTTCATTAAATATATTCATAGTTTCTCACAAGCTTTTCTGTTATTCACTCCATCATTTATTACTTCCCCAATGACCACAATAAACTGACTTTCTATTAAAAGTTTAATGTCCTTTTTCCTCCAGGAGTGGAGGCTCCATGAGAGTGAGGAATGTGGTTATTGTGTTTATTTAGTACATGGCTTGAGAGGTAATACAAGCACTTAGTTTTAGGAACTAGCATGCTCCTGCACATGGTAGGCATTTACTATTTATTTGTAGAGGGAGTGGTTTTACAGGATTATTTTTACTGTGTTGTTATTGCAAGTTTTGAATTTGCATCCATTTTAACTGTAAATTGCTAAGCATTATGACCATCCGGTAGCCAACTTTTCTTCCTTCCTTCCTTCCATTCTTCCTTTTTCCTTTCCTTTCCTTCCATCCTTCCTTCCTTTCTTCCCTCTTTCCTTCAATTCAACAAACATTTACTGATTGCCTATTCTTTGCTCAATCTAATGACACGATGTTGAATGAGACTCTGTCCCTACTGTCCAGGAGTAGTAGAAAGACAGATTCATAAACAATTATAATAAGGAAAAATACTTACTCTAATGAAGGAACTAGGAAATGCTTTACAAAAAAACAAAAAACAAAAAACAAAAACAAGACAAAAAAAAAGTTACTGTCGGCCTCCATAACACTCCTTGTTGCTTCCTTTGACATTCGCCATCCTTGCAGTTCTTCACATGGCAGTAATGTCTTCAGCAACTCAAGAAAATAAGTCATAGCAGATCACCTGGCTTTGGGCATTGTTGACTAGAGATTAGGAATTAATACATGCTAAGCAAGCACTTTTAACTTAAAAAAAGTTTCAAACTGACCATTAGATGAAAGATAAGTTAAATAACTGGTTTCAATAAGTGATACATATAAAATAAGACATACAGAAAGAACAAGATTTCGAAGCTATGGGATATTATATTCAAGTTGTCATTTTGTCTATCAAGGACTTTAATGCATTCCTCATGGGGTTAACTTTACTGTAGATCTTCTTTTCCAGAATAAGATACTTATTTCTAGCTCAGACGGATTTCTCTTGTTTATATTAGCTGGCTATTTCTGCTTTTCTGAGGCTTGAGACTTCATAGTATAACAGTGCTGATGGCTTTAAGCTTTTAAATCTTTAATCACCCTAATTCCTGTACTTGGGGTCATATTACTTAAGTAGGCGCCACTATTCTCAGGAATAGAACTGCTAAAATAAAAATATATCTGTATTTTTTCTTCCCCTGTGGTTTACCTAAGACAAACCCGAGAGAACATGGAACTGGAAAGCACAAACTTCTTATTTCCTTCAAAATTATTCTTTGCCTGATCACAAAAGACCTCATGTGTTATGGTTCTAGTAGCGTGGTTTGTCATCTCTCTTCCACTTTTTTTCTTAGTAAATAGAAAATTCATTAGATCTTGTTTAGTCTTGTTCCTTTGTATCAGACAGTAATAAGGATGGCCATAAAAACAACAGGGGCTAACATTTTGGAGCACGTATTATGTGAGAATTTGCGGACTAAGTCCCATACATGCATTATCTGATTTAATCCCCATATTATTGTATGTGCATAGACTCTAATACAAAGGTTGTCAGTAACACAGTTTCCTGTGCTCTGCCCTTTGAGAGTTTAATTCAAGAGATCTAGAGGAGGTGCAGAGCTATGCATTTTTGGATGGTTTTAAGAAAAGGAGTAGCTGCAGTTTTTAATACATATGCTGGAACATTGTAATGAAGGTGTTGCTAAGACTGGACTTTGGAAAATAATGGTTTGTATGCACCATAATAGATAAATCTCTGAGATGGTGTATTAGTCCATTTTCACACTGCTGATAAAGACATACCCGAGACTGGGTAATTTATACAGCAGAAAGGGTTTAAGGAACTTAGAGTTCCATGTGGCTGGGGAGGCCTTACAATCATGGCAGAAGCCAAGGAGGAACAAGTCACATTTTATGTGGATGGTGGCAGGCAAAGAGAGAGCTTGAGCAGGGAAAGTCCCCCTTATAGAACCATCAGATTTCGTGAGACTTATTTACTATCATGAGAACAGCATGGGAAAGACCTGCTCCCATGATTCAACCACCTCCCACTGGGTCCCTCCCACAACACATGGGACTTGTGGGAGATACAGTTCAAGAGGACATTTGGGTGGGGACACAGCCAAACCGTATCATTCCACCCCTCACCCCTCCCAAACTTCATCCTCACATTTCAAAACCAGCCATGCCTTCCCTCACAGTCTTAACTTATTTCGGCATTAACTCAAAAGTTCACAGTCCAAAGTCTCATCTGAGACAAGGCAAGTCCCTTCTGCCTATGAGCCTGTAAAATCAAAAGCAAGTTAGTTACTTCCTAGATACAATGAGGTTGTAGGCATTGGGTAAATACAGCCATTCTAAATGGTAGTAATTGGCCAAAACATAGGGGCTACAGGCCCCATGTAAGTCCAAAATACAGCAGGGCAGTCAAATCTTAAAGCTCCAAAATGATCTCCTTTGAATCCATGTCTCACATCGAGGTCACACTGATGCAAGAGGTGGGTTCCCATGGTCTTGGGCAGCTCCACCTCTGTGCCTTTGCAGGGTATGGTCTCCCTCCTGGCTTCTTTCACGGGCTGGCATTGAGTGTCTATGGCTTTTCCAGGCGCATGGTGCAAGGTGTCAGTGGCTCTACCATTCTGGGGACTGGGGGATGATTGCCATCTTCTCACAGATTCACTAAGCAGTGCCCCAGCAGAGACTCTGTGTGGGGGCTCTAATCCTACATTTCCTTCCACACTGCATTAGCAGAGGTTTTCCATGAGGGTCCCACCCTTACAGCAAACTTCTGCCTGAACATCCAGGCATTTCTATACATCTTCTGAAATCTAGATGAGGTTCCCAAACCTCAGTTCTTGATGTCTGTGCAACTGCAGGCTCAACATCACATGGAAGCTGCTAAGACTTGGGACTTGCACCCTCTGAAGCCACAGCCCGAGCTATACCTTGGCCCATTTTAGCTGCAGTTGGAACAGCTGGGTTGCAGGGCACCAAATCCCTAGGCTGCACACAGCAGGGGGCCCCTTGGCCAAGCCTAGGAAACCATCTTGTCCACCTAGGCCAGTGATGGGAGGGGCTGTGATGGGACGGGCTGCCATGAAGACCTCTGACATGCCCTGGAGACATTTCCCCCATTGTCTTGGGGATTAACATTTGGCTCCTAGTTACTTATGTAAATTTCTGCAGCCAGCTTGAATTTCTCCTCAGAGAATGAGATTTTCTTTTCTATTGCATTGTCAGGCTACACATTTTCTGAACTTTTATGCTCTGTTTCCCTTATAAAACTGAATGCCTTTAACAGCACCCAAGTCACCTCTTGAATGTTTTGCTGCTTAGAAATTTCTTCCTCCAGATAACCTAAATCATCTCTCTCAAGTTCAAAGTTCCACAAATCTCTAGGGCATGGGCAAAATGCCACCAGTCTCTTTGCTAAAATGTACCAAGTATCACCTTCTCCAGTTCCCCACAAGTTCTTCATTTCCATCTGATAACACCTTGGTCAGGATTTCATTGTCCATATCATTATCAGCATTTTGTTCAAAGCCATTCAACAAGTCTCTAGGGAGTTCCAAACTTCCCCACATTTTCTTGTCTTCTTCTGACCCCTCTGAACTGTTCCAACCTCTGTTTGTTACCTAGTTCCAAATTCACTTCCACATTTTCAGGTATCTTTTCAGCAGTCCCCCATTCTCCTGGTCCCAATTTACTGTATTAGTCCATTTTTACACTGCTGAGACATGTCCGAGACTGAGTAATTTATACAGGAAAAAGGGTTTAATGAACTTACAGTTCCATGTGGCTGAGGAGGCCTCTCAATCATGGCAGAAGCCAAGGAGGAGGAAGTCACACCTTATGTGGATGGCAGCAGGCAAAGAGAGAGCTTGTGCAGGGAAACGCCCCCTTACAGATGAGATCTCGTGAGACTTTTTCACTATCATGAGAACAGTCTGGGAAAGACCTGCCCCCGTGATTCAACAACCTCCCACCAGGTCCCTCCCAAACATGAGAATTGTGGGAGAGACAATTCAAGATGAGATTTGGGTGGGGACACAGCCAAACTATATCAGATGGAAATCACATCATCAGTGGGGTGAATGGGGTGATGGAGGGAAATCAGGGAAGGCTCACTGGAAGAGGTGTGGTATAGGAATTTGAAACAGAACTCTGGAGCCAGGGAGCTCCAGCTCTCGTGCCAGCTCTGCCACTTGCTAGTTGTGCCACTTAGCATTTCTGTGCCTCAGTTCCCCCTCTGTATTAGGCTGTTCTTGCATGGCTACCAAGAAACACCAGAGGCTGGATAATTTTTAACGAAAAAAGATTTAATTGGCTCATGGTTCTGCAGACTTTACAGGAATCATGGTGATGGCAACTGCTCGGCTTCTGGGGAGGCCTCAGGAAGGTTTTATTAATGGCAGAAGGCAAAGCGAGGAAGAGGCACATCATATGGTGAAATGACCAGATCTTAGGAGAACTCACTCGCTATCACAAAGATAGCACCAAGCCATGAGGGATCCGCCCCCATGTCCCAAACACCTCCCACCAGACCCCACCTCCAGTATTAGGAATTACAATTAGACATAAAATTTGGGTAAGGACAAATATCTAAACTATATCACCATCTATAAAATGAGAATAGCAATAGTATTTTATGCATATAGTCACTGAAATAATTAAATAGACCAATGCCTGTAATTTGCTTAGAACACTTCCAGGAACATTGTTAAGAGTGGTTTAATATTTTCTCTCTTTATATTTTTGTGGTTGGAGGATGTAATCCTTGAACTGAGGCTTACAGGGTGAGGAAGAGTCAACCTAGTGAAGGACCAGATGTGGCAATGGCAGGTGGCCTCTGCGGCAGAGCAGATATCATGAGCAACAGCACAGATATGAGAAGCAGCCTCGTGTGGCTTGAGTGTGAAGTACGGGAAGTGAGGTTAGAGAAGTAGGTAGAGGTCAGGTTGTGAAGGTCCTTGAGTTTTATACTGTGAATTTTAAAGTGATGGAGAACCATTCCCAGGAGTTACAGAGGGTGGTGTTTTAGTTGTTTCCAGGGTAGAAATGTGGAAAATGGATTTGGGAAAAATAAGACCAGAGACAGGGTGACAAGTTAAGCAGACCTGCAGGAGTCCAGGTGACAGATGGGGAAGAGATAGAACAAGGATAGAAAGGATAGCCAAGAAACATTTAGGAGATAAAATAGGCACGTCCTGATTTTAAAGGGAGAGGTTAGGAAGAAGAGAGGGACGACGAGCCAGGTTTCTGTTTTGGAATTAGGTGAATGGTGACACCACAGAGATAAAGCAGAATGGAGTTTTTACAGATTTAGTGAGTTCAGTTTTGGGCTGTGGAGTTTGTGACACCTGTGGGGTGTCCCCAGAGGGATGCCTACTGGCAGTTGGACATTATGGATGTGAAGTTTAGTGACTGGTTTTGTCTGAAGCTTGAAACACGTGATCTAGTAGAAACAAAAGCTCTGGGTAAACTGAAAAGAACACTACAAACATAAAGCATTCAGATCAGTGTTATTCGGTTCTTGTAGTCTTCAGCATTAATTAGTTTGTTAGAATACAAAGAACTCCAATGAAATTTACCTAAAAAGGAAGAATGTACTCTTCCCCTGGCTCATTAGAAGGATTTCTGAAGAGAAAATTCTGTGTGCAATGACATGCATTTAAATTCCAGGCTTCCAAAGAAAATTTCAAGACAGGCTATCCTTATTCTTGGTTAATTAGAACATAAGTAGATAAACCAGCAGAAGAGACCTCCTTTGAGTAGGCTTTGCTGTTTTTTTGGGTTTCTTGGAGGATTACTTATACCTAGGGCTTTGTTATACGAAGATATTTTTATAGATTTACTGAACGTTAGAGTTAGAGGCAACCTGATCTTACATGTTAGAAAGAAGAAATCCCTCAAGGTTGAATGATTTACTCCAGGTTTCATCTTCAACACATGGCAGAGCCAGGCCCTAGCAAAGGTCCACAGGACTAGAGCAATGGGCTTCTTCAGTGTTCTATGCTGATTCTTATTCTGCAGCATTAACAAATATGTCCCCCACCTCCTAACTCTTTCTTTTTCCTCTTTATCTTGCTAAAGGGAACATAAACATAAGAATAAATATAGCACTATGAGGGTGGCCATGTTGTCTGGGAAAACTTTCCTCACCAGGACATAGCCTATTACTCTCAAACTGTCTAATAAGGTTTAGTTGGAAAATTCTGTTGGGATTAAACTGTTTCCATATTTAAAAGATAAGTATTGCATCTCTATACACAATATTTTTTTTTCTCCAATGTATATTAGTTATACTGGTGGTGAGAGTAGCACAGCAGTTGTAGTAGCAGCAGCCACAGCAGTGGTAGGAGTAGCTACAGTAGAAAGGCAGGGGTGGAGGTAGTAATGATGATGGTGATGGTGATGATGATATGTATTTAGTGAGTGCTTAGAGCAGTGGTCTCCAACCTTTTTGGCACCAGGAACAGGTTTTGTGGAAGACAATTTTTCCAAGACCTGGGGTAGGTGGGGGATATGGTTTTGGGATGATTCAAGCACATTACATTTATTGTGCACTTTATGTCTATTATTATTACATTATAATGTATAATGAATAATTATTAACTCACCATAATGTGGAATCAGTGGGAGGCCTGAGCTTGCTTTCCTGCAACTAGACAGTCCCATCTGCGGGTGATGGGAGACAGTGACAGATCATCAGGCATTAGATTCTCATACGGATTGCACAATCTAGATCTCACACCTATGCAGTTCACAATAGAGTTCTTGCTCCTATGAGAATTTAACACCACCACTGATCTGACAGGAGGTGGAGCTCAGGGCTTAATGCGAGTGACAGGGAGCTGCTGTAAATACAGATGAAAATTCACTTGCTCACCTGCTGCTTACCTCCCTCCTACTGTGTGGTCCAGTTCCTGATAGGCTGTGGACTGGTACTGGTCCGTGGTCTGGGGATTGGGAACCCCTGCCTTAGAGGCTGTATAGAAGCTTAACGGAAGACTCTGATGCTCAAGTTCAAATTCCTGAGGTTGTATCCCAGTGTAACTATTTCCTGCTCTATGACCTTGGGCAAATATTAAACTTCTTGAAGTCTCAATTTCCTCATCAATAAAAAGAAGGAAAACAAAAATGCCTACAGCAAAGGGATATGATGACACTAAAATGAAAAAGAAAAAAGTATATAAGGCTTCTGACAAAACTTGTAACCCTGACTGTGAGAGAGATTTGATTATTTACCTCCATTTTACATATTAGGAAACAGAGACTCAGGGAGATGAAATAATCTACAAGTCTATTTTATGGCAGAGCTGAAATTCATATCAGGTCTATCTGACTCTTGAGCTTGTCTCATAACCACCATATACATTTTCTTTGGATAAATTGCTTCAATTTTGAATCCTGAAAATTACTTCTTGAGTCTTGAAAAACAAGCTATTTAGGTCATTTTTGTGTTTGCCATTCCAGGATAGTTGTCAACATACAGAATGTTGCATTTCTGAATTCTCTGAAATTGTTGCAACAAGATGTTTCTGTTGTAAAGAGTAGTCCTTTGGATCATGGATGATTAACCTTCCCCATGAACCTGGCAGGTGACAAAAGTGTACCTTTGGTTTTCAAGACTGAGGACCAGACAAAGTAGAATCACAGAAGACAGAGCCAGGGCCAATAGACACTGTTAGTGGAAAAGTGTCTGAAACTATAACTTTTGCCTATTTCTTTTGTATACAATATTGCACTGAGACTGGCCAGAGGTGGTGCCTACTTTGTACAGGTGGCATAGTGATTGCCTGACCTTCTGTATAGATATACTATTGGCACCAGGGGTAAAATAAGCTGCCTTTTGCCTTTCCATTGAAGCCTGTGACCTCTGAGATTCTGACTCTTACTCCTAGGCTAATAGACTATTTGTGACCTTCAATGAGTTTCCTTCCCCTTTGTTCCTTTTCTATAAGCTGATTCAGAAACCAACTTGTAGTTTGTGATAAGAGTATTGAAAACCTAACTATGATATTACATTCAACCCCACAAAGAAATTTTACTTCAGTGGAATTATAATGAATTGCTTTCATTTTACACCATTTTAAACCCCAATGACTTTAACAAGAGGGCTGTTGAAAGTAAATGCCACCTTATTACATACTGTGAAGAAGCAGCAATTAAGATGTTGTCTAAGTTAGTCAACTTTCTAACTTAGAATTTCCCAAGTGTCTCAAGTGGGTAGAAAAATGAAGCCAATGTCAAATGTCAACACTACTGGTGATGGACCAAGAACGACTATCTTTTCTTCTTTCCCTTTTTTTTTTTTTTTTTGGACAAGGTTTTGCTCTGTCACCCAGGCTAGAGTACAGTGGTACAATCTTGGCTCACTGCAGCTTTGACCTTCCAGGCTCAGGCCATCCTCCTTCCTCAGCCTCCCTACTGGCTGGGACTACAGGCACATGCCACCATGCCTAGCTAAGTTTTGCATTTTTCGCAGAGATGGGGTTTCACCATGTTTCCCAGGCTGGTCTTGAACTCCTGGGCTCAAGCAATCCTGCTGCCTCAGTCTCTCAAAGTGCTGGGATTACAGGCATTAGCCTCTGTGCCTGGCTGATCCACTATCTTTCATAGGAAAAAGAAATCCATCCCAATCATCTAGGAAAAATCTCCATCAGCAGAATCAAGTGAGCATCACAGAAATGTGGTTTTTGTTGGGTTGTTCCACTGTTATTTAAGCATTCTTGGTGAAAGTTGAATGGAAAGGCAAAGACCTGAACCCAGTGTTTTTACTTGTGGTGTAGTGGTCTTTGAAGATGAGAGTCTGATAAAAGAGAATTCTAAAGTAGCCCACACAGAAGTCAACAAGCCATAAGGGGTTTTTCCATTGTTCCTACTTCTTTTTTTTTTTGAATGTTTGTTTGTTTGTTTGTTTTAAATTATACTTTAAGTTTTAGGGTACATGTGCACATTGTGCAGGTTAGTTACATATGTATACATGTGCCATGCTGGTGCGCTGCACCCACTAACTCATCATCTAGCATTAGGTATATCTCCCAATGCTATCCCTCCCCCCTCCCCCCACCCCCCACCAGTCCCCAGAGTGTGATATTCCCCTTCCTGTGTCCATGCGATCTCATCGTTCAATTCCCACCTACGAGTGAGAATATGCGGTGTTTGGTTTTTTGTTCTTGTGATAGTTTACTGAGAATGATGCTTTCCAATTTCATCCATGTCCCTACAAAGGACATGAACTCATCATTTTTTATGGCTGTATAGTATTCCATGGTGTATATGTGCCACATTATCTTAATCCAGTCTATCATTGTTGGACATTTGGGTTGGTTCCAAGTCTTTGCTATTGTGAATAATGCCGCAATAAACATACATGTTCATGTGTCTTTATAGCAGCATGATTTATAGTCCTTTGGGTATATACCCAGTAATGGGATGGCTGGGTCAAATGGTATTTCCAGTTCTAGATCCCCGAGGAATCGCCACACTGACTTCCACAATGGTTGAACTAGTTTACAATCCCACCAACAGTGTAAAAGTGTTCCTATTTCTCCACATCCTCTCCAGCACCTGTTGTTTCCTGACTTTTTAATGATTGCCATTCTCACTGGTGTGAGATGGTATCTCATTGTGGTTTTGATTTGCATTTCTCTGATGGCCAGTGATGGTGAGCATTTTTTCATGTGTTTTTTGGCTGCATAAATGTCTTCTTTTGAGAAGTGTCTGTTCATGTCCTTTGCCCACTTTTTGATGGGGTTGTTTGTTTTTTTCTTGTAAATTTGTTTGAGTTCATTGTAGATTCTCGATATTAGCCCTTTGTCAGATGAGTAGGTTGCAAAAATTTTCTCCCATTTTGTAGGTTGCCTGTTCACTCTGATGGTAGTTTCTTTTGCTGTGCAGAAGCTCTTTAGTTTAATTAGATCCCATTTGTCAATTTTGGCTTTTGTTGCCATTGCTTTTGGTGTTTTAGACATGAAGTCCTTGCCCATGCCTATGTCCTGAATGGTAATGCCTAGGTTTTCTTCTAGGGTTTTTATGGTTTTAGGTCTAACGTTTAAGTCTTTAATCCATCTTGAATTGATTTTTGTATAAGGTGTAAGGAAGGGATCCAGTTTCAGCTTTCTACATATGGCTAGCCAGTTTTCCCAGCACCATTTATTAAATAAGGAATCCTTTCCCCATTGCTTGTTTTTCTCAGGTTTGTCAAAGATCAGATAGTTGTAGATATGTGGCGTTATTTCTGAGGGCTCTGTTCTGTTCCATTGATCTATATCTCTATTTTGGTACCAGTACCATGCTGTTTTGGTTACTGTAGCCTAGTAGTATAGTTTGAAGTCAGGTAGTGTGATGCCTCCAGCTTTGTTCTTTTGGCTTAGGATAGACTTGGCGATGCGGGCTCTTTTTTGGTTCCATATGAACTTTAAAGTAGTTTTTTTCCAATTCTGTGAAGAAAGGCATTGGTAGCTTGATGGGGATGGCATTGAATCTGTAAATTACCTTGGGCAGTATGGACACTTTCACGATATTGATTCTTCCTACCCATGAGCATGGAATCTTCTTCCATTTGTTTGTATCCTCTTTTATTTCATTGAGCAGTGGTTTGTAGTTCTCCTTGAAGAGGTCCTTCACATCCCTTGTAAGCTGGATTCCTAGGTATTTTATTCTCTTTGAAGCAATTGTGAATGGGAGTTCACTCATGATTTGGCTCTCTGTTTGTCTGTTGTTGGTGTATAAGAATGCTTGTGATTTTTGTACATTGATTTTGTATCCTGAGACTCTGCTGAAGTTCCTTATCAGCTTAAGGAGATTTTGGGCTGAGACAATGGGGTTTTCTAGATATACAATCATGTCATCTGCAAACAGGGACAATTTGACTTCCTCTTTTCCTAATTGAATACCCTTTATTTCCTTCTCCTGCCTGATTGCCCTGGCCAGAACTTCCAACACTATGTTGAATAGGAGTGGTGAGAGAGGTCATCCCTGTCTTGTGCCAGTTTTCAAAGGGAATGCTTCCAATTTTTGCCCATTCAGTATGATATTGGCTGTGGGTTTGTCATAGATAGCTCTTATTATCTTGAGATACGTCCCATCAATACCTAATTTATTGAGAGTTTTTAGCATGAAGGGTTGTTGAATTTTGTCAGAGGCCTTTTCTGCATCTATTGAGATAATCATGTGGTTTTTGTCTTTGGCTCTGTTTATATGCTGGATTACATTTATTGATTTGTGTATATTGAACCAGCCTTGCATCCCAGGGATGAAGCCCACTTGATCATGGTGGATAAGCTTTTTGATGTGCTGCTGGATTCGGTTTGCCAGTATTTTATTGAGGATTTTTGCATCAATGTTCATCAAGGACATTGGTCTAAAATTCTCTTTTTTTGTTGTGTCTCTGCCTGGCTTTGGTATCAGAATGATGCTGTCCTCATAAAATGAGTTAGGGAGGATTCCCTCTTTTTCTATTGATTGGAATAGTTTCAGAAGGAATGGTAGCAGCTCCTCCTTGTACCTCTGGTAGAATTCGGCTGTGAATCCATCTGGTCCTGTACTCTTTTTGGCTGGTAAGCTATTGATTGTTGCCACAATTTCAGAGCCTGTTATTGGTCTATTCAGAGATTCAACTTCTTCCTGGTTTAGTCTTGGTAGAGGGTATGTGTCCAGGAATTTATCCACTTCTTCTAGATTTTCTAGTTTATCTGCATAGAGGTGTTTGTAGTATTCTCTGATGGTAGTTTGTATTTCTGTGGGATTGGTGGTGATATCCCCTTTATCATTTTTTATTGCCGTCTATTTGATTCTTCTCTCTTTTTCTCATTAATAGTCTTGCTAGTAGTCTATCAATTTAGTTGATCCTTTCAAAAAACCAGCTCCTGGATTCATTGATTTTTTGAAGGGTTTTTTGTGTCTCTATTTCCTTCAGTTCTGCTCTGATTTTAGTTAGTTCTTGCCTTCTGCTAGCTTTTGAATGTGTTTTCTCTTGCTTTTCTAGTTCTTTTAATTGTGATGTTAGGGTGTCAATTTTGGATCTTTCCTGCTTTCTCTTATGGGCATTTAATGCTATAAATTTCCCTCTACACACTGCTTTGAATGCGTCCCAGAGATTCTGGTATGTTGTGTCTTTGTTCTCGTTGGTTTCAAAGAACATCTTTATTTCTGCCTTCATTTCGTTATGTACCTAGTAGTCATTCAGGAGCAGGTTGTTCAGTTTCCATGTAGTTGAGCGGTTTTGAGTGAGATTCTTAATCCTGAGTTCTAGTTTGATTGCACTGTGGTCTGAGAGACAGTTTGTTATAACTTGTGTTCTTTTACATTTGCTGAGGAGAGCTTTACTTCCAAGTATGTGGTCAATTTTGGAATAGGTGTGGTGTGGTGCTGAAAAAAATGTATATTCTGTTGATTTGGGGTGGAGAGCTCTGTAGATGTCTATTAGGTCGGCTTGGTGCAGAGCTGAGTTCAATTCCTGGGTATCCTTGTTGACTTTCTGTCCCGTTGATCTGTCTAATGTTGACAGTGGGGTGTTAAAGTCTCCCATTATTAATGTGTGGGAGTCTAAGTCTCTTTGTAGGTCACTCAGGACTTGCTTTATGAATCTTGGTGCTCCTGTATTGGGTGCATATATATTTAGGATAGTTAGCTCTTCTTGTTGAATTGATCCCTTTACCATTATGTAATGGCCTTCTTTGTCTCTTTTGATCTTTGTTGGTTTAAAGTCTGTTTTACCAGAGACTAGGATTGCAACCCCTGCCTTTTTTTATTTTCCATTTGCTTGGTAGATCTTCCTCCATCCTTTTATTTTGAGCCTATGTGTGTCTCTGCACGTGAGATGGATTTCCTGAATACAGCAGACTGATGGGTCTTGACTCTTGATCCAATTTTCCAGTCTGTGTCTTTTAATTGGAGCATTTAGTCCATTTACATTTCAAGTTAATATTGTTATGTGTGAATTTGATCCTGTCATTATGAGGTTAGCTGGTTATTTTGCTCGTTAGTTGATGCAGTTTCTTCCTAGTCTCGATGGTCTTTACATTTTGGCATGATTTTGCAATGGCTGGTACCGGTTGTTCCTGTCCATGTTTAGCGCTTCCTTCAGGAGCTCTTTTAGGGCAGGCCTGGTGGTGACAAAATCTCTCAGCATTTGCTTGTCTGTAAAGTATTTTATTTCTCCTTTGCTTATGAAGCATAGTTTGGCTGGATATGAAATTCTGGGTTGAAAATTCTTTTCTTTAAGAATGTTGAATATTGGCCCCCACTCTCTTCTGGCTTGTAGGGTTTCTGCCGAGAGATCTGCTGTTAGTCTGATGGCTTCCCTTTGAGGGTAACCTGACCTTTCTCTCTGGCTGCCCTTAACATTTTTTCCTTCATTTCAACTTTGGTGAATCTGACAATTATGTGTCTTGGAGTTGGTCTTCTCGAGGAGTACCTTTGTGGTGTTCTCTATATTTCCTGAATCTGAACGTTGGCCTACCTTGCTAGATTGGGGAAGTTCTCCTGGATAATATCCTGCAGAGTGTTTTCCAACTTGGTTCCATTCTCCCCATCACTTTCAGGTACACCAATCAGACGTAGATTTGGTCTTTTCACATAGTCCCATATTTCTTGGAGGCTTTGCTCATTTCTTTTTATTCTTTTTTCTCTAAACTTCCCTTCTTGCTTCATTTCATTCATTTCATCTTCCATCACTGATACCCTTTCTTCCAGTTGATCGCATCGGCTCCTGGGGCTTCTGCATTCTTCACGTAGTTCTCGAGCCTTGGTTTTCATCTCCATCAGCTCCTTTAAGCACTTCTTTGTATTGGTTATTGTAGTTATACATTCTTCTAAATTTTTTTCGAAGTTTTCAACTTCTTTGCCTTTGGTTTGAATGTCCTCCCATAGCTCAGAGTAATTTGATCGTCTGAAGCCTTCTTCTCTCAGCTCGTCAAAGTCATTCTCCATCCAGCTTTGTTCCGTTGCTGGTGAGGACCTGCGTTCCTTTGGAGGAGGAGAGGCGCTCTGCTTTTTAGAGTTTCCAGTTTTTCTGTTCTGTTTGTTCCCCATCTTTGTGGTTTTATCTAGTTTTGGTCTTTGATGATGGTGATGTACAGATGGGTTTTTGGTGTGGATGTCCTTTCTGTTTGTTAGTTTTCCTTCTAACAGACAGGACCCTCAGCTGCAGGTCTGTTGGAATACCCTGCCGTGTAAGGTGTCAATGTGCCCCTGCTGAGGGGTGCCTCCCAGTTAGGCTGCTCGGGGGTCAGGGGTCAGGGACCCATTTGAGGAGGCAGTCTGCCCCTTCTCAGATCTCCAGCTGCGTGCTGGGAGAACCACTGCTCTCGTCAAAGCTGTCAGACAGGGACATTTAAGTCTGCAGAGGTTACTGCTGTCTTTTTGTTTGTCTTTGCCCTGCCCCTAGAGGTGGAGCCTACAGAGGCAGGCAGGCCTCCTTGAGCTGTGGTGGGCTCCACCCAGTTCGAGCTTCCTGGCTGCTTTGTTTACCTAATCAAGCCTGGGCAATGGCGGGCGCCCCTCTCCCAGCCTCGCTGCCACCTTGTAGTTTGATCTCAGACTGCTGTGCTAGCAATCAGTGAGACTCCATGGGCGTAGGACCCTCTGAGCCAGGTGCAGGATATAATCTCGTGGTGCGCTGTTTTTTAAGCCCATTGGAAAAGCGCAGTACTCGGGTGGGAGTGACCCAATTTTCCAGTTGCCGTCCGTCACCCCTTTCTTTGACTTGGAAAGGGAACTCCCTGACCCCTTGCGCTTCCCAAGTGAGGCAGTGCCTCACCCTGCTTCGGCTCGCGCATGGTGTGCGCACCCACTGAGCTGCGCCCACTGTCTGGCACTCCCTAGTGAGATGAACCCGGTACCTCAGATGGAAATGCAGAAATCACCATCTTGTGCGTCGCTCACGCTGGGAGCTGTAGACCGGAGCTGTTCCTATTCGGCCATCTTGGCTCCTCCCCCCTGTTCCTACTTCCTAATTAATTTATTCCTCATTTTTTTCCTGAAGCAATTTATAGAAACCTTAAATATAAGAGGCACATCAACATAGGGTTATAAGTCTGAATTTTGCTGTCTGATAGACATGAGGTCAGGTCCTAAAATATAACATTTTCTAGCTTTGTGACATCAAACAAATTATTAATCTCTCAAAGTCTTGTTTCCACAACTGTAAAATGGACAAATGCATAGTACTTAAATTATTTTGGTTGTTTGAGCACTGAAAGAGTTTAAGTTAGTACCAAAGCAATTGCTATGCTGTTGCTGTTGATCATGATGATAACGATGATGATGATGAGTTTAGTTTTATATTGTATTATAATACTTTGTTTATGTCTGCCTGTCACACTATATAGTGAGGGCCTTGAAGGGAGGAATGAATTGTATTTATGTTGTGTCTTTCAGAGACTGACACAGTTTCAGCTACTTTGGAGGCATCTAAAAATGTAAGACTAAATGGAAGGAAGTGGAGCTTCGGAGCTATCGAGTCCTGGTTGTCATTACTAATTATGCTATTTGACATTGAGAAAGTCATTGCCTTCTTGGTTTATCCACTTCTCCATATACAAGGAGGAAGTATTCTACCTACCCTTTAGGGATGCTATAAGAATGCATTTAACATTTAATTGCAAATTGTACCTTAATTTGTGAAGGATTAATATTAAATATTAATGAAGATCACAGCCTTCCATTTCACTCCTTTCTTTGTAGTTGCAGAGTACTCACCAGCATAATGGAGCCCGAAAGGAAAAATGTGAAGGCTAGGTCTTATGTCATGCACATATCAAATGAGAGAGAGCTTCTAAAATCAGAGAAGGGCTCTATCCAGAAACAAAATACATTCTGGGCAGTAAGGAAATTAATTGAGGCTATCATCTGCACCAAACCTTCAGCCCCAACCTATTAACTTCTAAGTAGTTAAATATTTTAGGTGATAATCACTTTTGCCTTTGTTTGAATTATCTGAATTTTAATTGCCTGTTTTCTATAGATTTTATGTGAAAAACATTTCAAGTAAAATAATACATTAAAAGGACGAGGGAAGAACTCCACAAAGTGATCATTATGTGTGAACACTGAGATTATAGATGATTTCTTTGTTCTTCCTTATTCCAAACTTGGTTTAATTTAGCTCATTTAGTGGCATGGAACAGAGTCATTCAGACCAGCACAAGTGCATGGATGTTTATGGTCACTAGGCCTATGGGCTCTCTTGACAACTTGTGAACAGGCATTCTGACACTATTGTGGCTCATGGGAAATGGAGTTAAATGGGAAGCATCACTGCAGATCTGAGCAGTAGAAGATCTTGTATGCTCTGGCAATTCCCAGCTTCAGCTCCTTTCTTGGTCTTGACTTCTTCTGGCATCTTTTCTTGTTTCTGGTCTGTTACCAACTAGCTGACATTCAGCCTTGATATTTTTTTTTTCTCTCCCTCAGCTTCGGATTTTTCATGATCATGCTTCTTCATAAGTGCAGTACATTCTCCACATATCTTGTTAGTGTCCCTCCCGACCTGTATATTACCACAGGAACCTCTTTTTTCTTTGCATGCATTCAAATTCAGACATCACTGCAAAGACTCTTCTTTCCATATTTCCCTATTTAAATGTCAGAGAGTGAAAATCTTAATGGCTCAGCTCATTCCTCTGTAAGCAATGCTATTCATGCCAGTATACCACATGGGCTCCTGGCTGGCTAATTGGCTGGGTACCCTCAGTTCTGGAGGTGACCAAACACGTGATGTGATGGGTATACTACATGGCGGTCTAGGGCCATCCCTAAGTAAGGACTATGAGCTGGGAAATTTCCCTGATGGAGGAATATAGGTGTGGCAGGCACCTCTTTAGTGGAGTTGTTATGTTATTTTTATATGTGTAAAATATATATTTAGCACTGGAAATAGATTATTAGAAGAATTTTGTTCACATCCAGCTTAGAAAAGATAAGAATTTCTCTTTATGTATGTCTTTGTTGTATCAGTAGCTCTTTTCTGCCACGTTTTTGTGCTGCTGTGCCTTTCTTATATTATACCTTGTGCTTGGAAGATCAGTCCAAAAAATTTCTCTGCCAGGATGCTTCCAAAATTCGGGTTTCACCTCTAACTCTTAGTCTTGTTTCCTTTAAAAAATTAGTCCCCGGCTGGACATGGTGGCTCACGCCTGTAATCGCAGTAGTTTAGGAGGCTGAGGCGGGTGGATCACCTGAGGTCAGGAGTTTGAGACCAGCCTGGCTAACATGGTGAAACCCCATCTCTACTAAAACATACAAAATTAGCTGGGCGCGGTGGCAGGCGGCTGTGATCCCAGCTACTTGGGAGGCTCAGGCAGGAGAATCGCTTGAAGCCGGGAGGCGGAGGTTGCAGCGAGCCGAGATAGCGCCATTGCACTCCAGCCTGGGAGACAGAGCAAGACTCCGTCTAAAAAAAAAAAAAAAACCAAAAAAACCAAATAACAAAAAGTAGCCCCCATACTTCAGTGGGAATCGGCTGCCTTCTCTCCTATACTCTTTACTCTTTAGTTCTTTGTACTTTTGTTGCAGCACTTTGAAATATCTGTCCTTATGTTAGAGTCACTGCTGTATGTACTTTCCTCCCCATTGTAATGTGAACTCCAGGTCATAAAAATTTTATCTCGTTATCCATGCATCAGTAGCACACTATAAACATGTGTGTTCAAATGAAACACTTTGGGGTTACAATATAGAAATGATAAAATGGACTCACAATAGGATTTCTCACCTACTGTGAGTCAGGGATTTTCTCACTTAACCCTTTTTATAATTCCTGAGAGTAAGGCATTGCTATCTTTATTTTATAGATAGTGGATAATAAGTCTAAAGTCAGTAACCATAAAGGGATTCTGTGGTTAAAGAAATCTGGAGACATTCAATTAAAGAAAGCTAACAGTTTTCTCTCCAACAGGACTTATCAAGGCCTTAATTGTGAAACACTCATTAGAAACCCCTAAACATACAGAGTATGCAACATTTCCTAACTTATTTGATTATGATTACATGTTTTGAGGAATAACTTGCAGGGTTAGTGCACAAAGGAGCACATTTTGAGCATGCCAAGGTGAATAATAATGCCTGAATTAGAGTGGGCATTTCAGTGATTCTCCTGGAGGTTAAATGTCACTGTAATATCAAACATGACAGAGTTTCTTGGTACATTGTCAAATATGGCTCTTGATGGTTATCATCACTCCTGATCTTCATAAGAGACTGAAGATCAACCTGCTGCCTTCCATAGAGCTTTGAAGTGGCTTTTATTTGTTTTTGATTTTTATCCACTCCAAAGAGTATATCTGCGTATTCCAATAATCCAAGTTCCTGTCACATATTTAGAAATCACTGGAACTACCTAGCCACTCAGAGAGTAGGGAAAGGATATTCTTTAGCTGAGTGGGTTTTCAATCAACTCCCTCAAAGTATACTCCCTTAGTATTCTTCTGAAGCATTTCCCCAAATCTCTTTCCACAGTTCATGTAGTGAATCTGCAACACAGTATCCAGCCATGCCTGAACAGGTGTGCCCAACATGGAAGGTTCTAGCCACAGGTCTGGATCTTTATTGCAGAAGATGAACACTCAGTAATTTTGGTGTTTTAGAAAATCAACATCTGATGCTTGATGAGCCCACGATTCTCCCCTCTGCCCTGAAGGAATTGTCTCTGTTTACATGAGGTACAGCCCATTTGTAAATATTAATACTAAAATGGGCAGTTATTAACCAAGCATCTGGAAGTGGAGAATTACCTGATGTTCTGATGTGAGTAGTGGTCTATGAGGTAAACCACCTAAGGTCACTTCCTTTCCTTTCTCAAAGTAGACTAGGGTCACAGACACTTCCAGCATATTTTCCAAGTTATTGAGGGCATTTGGTCATTGAGCTTATCCAGGAAAGTGTCTAACCAGGGTCAGGTGTCAGTAACTGTGTAGAATACAGGGTATCTTTAGGGCTTCTTGGAGATGCAAGTGAATATCTGGGCAGTCCTTTACAATTTGCAGAAGTTCTCTTCTTTCTCTTTGTCCTCTGATTTCAGCAGCATGTGTATTTTGTATGTCTCAATTGTCTGAGTTTTGGAAGCATCTCTGATTGTTGCATGTTAAAACAGCATTCTTACTTTGCATTTTCACTTATTCTTATAAACTTCTTATAGAACTGTATAAAAAACATTTTGACTATAATTTTTCCTTCTAATTTTAAAATCCATGTCTGAATTACTGGGATATTTTAAAAGTATCTTTATTCTATAATGAGAATGAGGGGAAAGGAAGATGAAATACCAAAACTTACCTTTAATGTAGTCTAAATGGTGATAGCAGCTTTTGCCAATAATAATGATTTTGAAATTGTCAGACTTGTGGCCACACATCCTATTGTGATATAAACCTATTTTCCCAGACAGTGGACTAGTAGAGAGGCATTCTTTATGCTAACAGATAACAAAAGACTTTAGGTAGTGTTCTCTTAAATCATTTACAAAAAGAATCTTTCCCCTTGATCAGGACCATTGAGGTTAACATAGGATGTTAGAGCATTATTTTCCTTGCAACATCGTTTTTTCAAAATGAAAAGGGTCTTCAACAAGACACCCTGCAAATCCCAAGACAATAATTACATTCTTGGGACTGGAAATCTTGCATGTTTGCAGACATTTTAGAGTTTGGCATTTGTGGCTTTTTGCACACTATGAAATATTTATGCATTGTTCAAATAACCCTGCTTAGTTACCATTGGATACCTACTGTTGTACAGGAATTGCATTTAGAAAGGAATAGAATCTAATTTATAAAATCTATAAAGCTCTCATACTCAGCTACTTCAGTAGAAATCCTTTTGAGACAATAGTTGAAAATGCTGGGAAATAGATGTTAATTTGGTTTGGGAAGTTTTTTGTTGGTGGTGGTAGTGAAAGAAGATAATTACTATCAATATTTTCACTCTCAGTTAGAGGACATGAGGTTGCCAATGAAATTTGACTATCCATACCAGAAATTTAAAAAATAATAATTAATGTTAATACAAGTAATACATTTTATTAACACAAAAATATATAAAAATAGATTATTTATAACTACCACCTACAGAAAACATTTTAGAAAATGTCCTCAGGATTTTTGTCTTTCTTCCCTCCCTTCCTTCCTCCCTCCCTCCCTCCCTCCTTCCCTCCCTCCTTCCCTCCCTCCCTCCTTCCGTCCTTCCTTCCTTCCTTCCATTCTTCCTTCTTCCTTCCCTCTCTCCCTCCCACCCTTCTTTCCTTTCTTCCCTTTGTCCATATATCCATCCATCCTTGTATTTAAAACATAGCATTATATTAAACATTAACTTTTCATAACCAACTTTTTAAATGAAGCAACATACTTTGAATGTTTTCCATGCCAATAAATATACCTCTACTTCATGAGAATTTTATTTCATTTTGTGAATGTCCCCTGAATTATATATACGATCTCTTACTATTGGAATTTTTATATTTAAAAAATTTTTTTCTACTATAGGCATTTCTGTATAAACATTATTTACTTATTTATTTATTCATTCAATAAACATTTATTGAGCTGATACTGTGTGCCAGGTTCTGGGACTACAACCATGTTAGACACAGCTCATGTTTTTGTCTTTCGGTACTACTATGATAAATAAATAAAACAAGATCATTTACATTTAGTTTGAAGTAACAACATTTATTTTTGCTGAGACAGTCTTTATCATCAGTGACAAGGTTAACACAGCTGGCTATTACTTCCCAAGGCTATTAAAATATTTTACATAAATCATACCATAATGTGGACTTGGAAATAATAATATGTACTCACAAAGCATCCATAGCCTATATTAATTTAGCTGAAAAATAATATAGCAATCATACTGTCAGACTGCCTCCACAGCCACAGTAAATTGGTGCTATCAGGCTCAGAATTTATCTTTTCATAGATTTTGGTTTTTTTGATCATTTGTGGTTTTGACACATATAGAGGTTTCCGCTCAGAGCAACCAGGAAGGTGGAAACAGTGTGACATCACGTATAAAGCACTGGCTGAGAGCCAGGGATTTTCAATATGAAACCAAGTTCAACTAATTATTAGCTACTTGACCTTTGGAGGTCATCAAATATTCCAAAGCTTCAGTTTCCTGCTCTGAAAATGAGAGCACAGTGCTGGATAATTTCTTAGTTTCTGTCAGTCTAGCAATTTTGAACCTGTGCGTTTTTCATTGTTTTTACTGGAAGTTAACAGTGAAATGGTCAAGGACCCTGTTATGAATATTGATTCCATCTGTCAAAGCCAAGCTGAGAGGTAGGGATGGCAAAACAACAAATACAATGAGAGCTCTGAGCCAAGGAGTGATTTGATATATAAAATTCTAAAAGATTATCTTCACTATATGTGTTTGAATACACTGTAGAAAGTCAAATGCAGAAGTGGAAAGACCAGCTGGAAGGCTATTACTGTTGACAAGGTGAGAGATTGCAGCAGTCTCACTGGAGATGGTGAGAAACGGCCACATTCTGGCTCTATGTAATGGTAGAGCTGATCGGACATGCTGGTAACTAGGATGTAGGGGGAGAGGGAAGGAGATGTTCAATATAACTCTACGGTTTTTGGCCCAATCAACTGGTTATATGGTGGCTGCCATTCACTGAGTGGAGTGTCCTGAGGTTTTCATGAGGATGAGTGGGGGAGGAGAGTCAATATTTTGGTTTTGCACGTGCTATGCTTGAGGCACCTATTAGACATACAACTGGAAATGTTTGAATATGAAGCTGGATATGTGAGCCTGAAACTCAAGAGAAAGTTCAGGGCTAGCAATTTAAATTTGGGAGTTCTCAGTATTGGCTAAGTGATCGTAAGGCAATTAATCTTGATATGCCTGAATTTACTTATTTGTAAAATTGAGGTAATACTTTTTGTGAAGTTTAAATGATATATTATGAATTTTATAAAATTTTCAGCACACTGGCTGTTATGTAGCAAGTAGATTATAAACATTAGCTGTTCCTCTTCATTACAATGATGGAAGTATAGGTGGACAGATTGGTGATTAATTAGTTAATAAACATGAACACTCTTTAAATCTAATTCAGAGGTTTGGACCATCTTGGGAAAGACAGAAAAGAAGTTTATCTGGTTTCAGTGTAGGGTATAAGAGAGAAGGCAAATACCAGACATTTATTTATATTAGTAGTTGGAGGCATGCGGGTTATTAATTACACCTTCCAGGGAAACCCAAGCCATGAATTCCAGGGGAATATTATCATGGTTGACTCTGCCAACTCCAATCTTTGTGGTTGAAATGTGGTCCTGACCCCTCTTGCCTAGATGGAAATGTTAACTAGAAAAGCCTGTGTAGTTCCTGAGGCACTCAGAGAGAATCCTTTTTAATAATTCAGCCATCTGTATTTAGCTGGTCCCTCAATGTCTGGGCTAGGTCTTGTTAGGAATAAAGGATAAAATATTAAAGGGACAAATGTAAACAACACTGGCTTGAATTACAATTTCTAGTTTAAAAACATGTTCATGACTCACAGAGCTATTATACGTGTGATCTCTGAGAATGAAATTGGCTGGCTGACCTCCTAAGATTCCCTCTTAAACACGAAGTGAATATTTCACTATAATGACCAAGACTTTGCAGTTGAGGTTAGCAGCTTGAGCCCTTCTACTCACTAAGAATTCCTTCATTCGTTCAATCACCAAAGATGTGAAGAGCAACTAATGTTAGCCAGGCATCCAAATAGCTGAGAATTTCAGTGTTTTTGGAGTTGTGACAGCTGAGTTGTCATTGGTTAATAACCCAAGAGTCTTCTCTCCAACACATAAAACAAACAAATCCCTGCAAGATATGTTTCTGTCTTTTAGAATCAAACATTTATTCTGAGATGCTTACAGATTCACGTGCACTTGTACAAAATAATATAGCGAGATCACGTGTACCCTTTACTCAGTTTCCTCTAATGGTACCATCCTGTAAAATTGTAGTATAATATCATGACCAGGACACTAACAATTCATTTTTACATTAAGATTTGGTATCATTAGAATTATAAATGTCAGATTGGAAACCACAACTCAAAACCACAAGACATGAAAAGACATCTTAGCCAGTGCTGTTTTTTCTGCTTTGTACCCCATGTTGTTCCCCTCCACCTGTGACTCTGTGGGTCTGGATAGGAATTCTGCATGTCTGGTGGTGTTTTGTGCCTCTCATGGGTGACACTCAGCTCATCAGTGATTCCTTGTTCAATGTTGGCTGTCCTTTGTGACTATAACCTCAGAGGGCAAAAATTATACCTGCTATTTACTACTGTTTTTATGGAATCTGGCAAAGTGTCTGGCACTCAAAGAGGCTGGATGCCTTTTACTTGGGTGAGAGAATCAATTAATCTGCCCAGCTGAGAGAAGTGCATTTCTGAAAGACGGGTCAGAGACAACCAGGAAGTTAGTGGTAATGCTGCTTAAAATCAATGTTAGTAAGACTTTTGCTTCTTTGAATCCAAATCTGTTATCTTCAGAAAGATTCTCAGCTAACAAAACAACCAGAATATTTATGTGTTCAGACACATGGGAAAAATAATATTTTTTAAAACAATCCAATCTGAGCTAAGTATTAGGAGAGCACTGAAATGTCTTGAAATCAAGTCTGAAGAAATAATCTGCTTCAGAATAGCTTTCTTGATGAGGAACACTTTTTCGTTGTCTAATGTTGTTCTAATCAGCTGGACAATCTTAGCTGAAAGATTTACCCTATAAAATGACAATATAAGTTAGTATTTCCCTAAACCTTTCTTTTCATCACCAAGGACACCTACAGACTTCTCTCTGGGGATAATGGAACATTGAAAATTGGGCATTTTAAATAGGTTGGCAGTTATCTGAAACAAGTAGTCTAATAAAGAAGTATGCCCTTATGGCTAGCCCTGAGAACAAATGGTATATCTTAAAGTTAGTATGTTTATTGTTTTTTCCATTGAAAAGTTTGGCTTTTTGGAGCACAAAATAGCTGGCTGACTTTCTATCCATTCTCACTTCTCCAGTGCTTTAAATCATAATATTTAACTTAATTATCAGTATCTGACTTGAGACCTTCCAAGATTCCTCAGTCTGCCAGGTGCTTTGTTTCTTGGCACTGAAAAGTCATTTGGTATAAAATAATGAGCAAAGCAAACATGGTATCTGACTTTATAGAGCTTATTTTCTAATATAAGGAACAGATCAAAATCAAGCAAGCAGATCAATGAATTATATACTCATTAATTTTGATAAACCACTACAAATGAATGAATGAATGAGCAAACTGAGGATGAAAAAAGCAGCCCTGAGAGGCAGGAGCCAGCCTCACACATGCAGTGGGGCCATGTTCACCTGGCTAACCCAAACGATTTCACAGAACATCAATATCACACAAGACCATGCTGAGATGCTGGGATCGAGACAAGAACTCTAATCATTTAAGAACACAGACAAAAGCATAAACATTTTCCAGGCCACAAAAAATGACCAAGTATCTCCTATAACAGTTTGAATGACTGCTGGTTTCCTTAACAGTTTTCACCTTGTCCTGTGTTTTCATCTCCTAAGTAAGAATTATTAAGATACCCAGTCACAGAATTATCCCAGCTTCTAGACAACATCCAGTTCAAAGCAATGTCCCATTTCCTGGAATTATCTCCCAAATCACAAAACATAAGCCCAAATTCTGTAATAAGCCCTCTCTAATACCCAACTCACCTCAGTCCCAATGGCATCAGCTCTCCCTCATTGCAGCAAGTGAATAAACCCAACATTGTTCAAATTAAGGTGCATTTTTATTGGTCTTTGGCTTGAGAGCATTAATGAATGAAACACACACCTTTTTTTTTTCTGATGCCTAAAGACTTTATCCCTGATTGAACTGCTGATTCTAGATTTGGGATAAAACCTGACAAAATGTAAATATACCTGAAGAGGAAAATAGCTCAGTCAACAGTGACTTGTTATAGAGAAAAAGTCAGAAAGATCTAGAAGCCTAAGTGGTATTTAGAGAAAAAGGTTCTGAGAAGGTGGAGGTCAGCACATATTCTTACATGCTTTGGGTGAAGGACGACTTCTTGGGAAGAAGCTATGAAGAACAGATACCAGTGTGGGGAGAGATTTCAACTTTTCAAGAAGAGTTTTAGACCAGTGATAAATGGACAAGAAAATAGGAAGGAAAGTGAGTCATGTTCTGCCAGTAAATTCCTCCTTCCATCTCAGGTAAATCTTTCATGGGGCTTATTAAGCAGTTTTCATTAAAGAGTTTATAGGTACATTAGCAGGCAAAAGAACACTTCTTTCCAACAAACAGCTCTCAGAAGTCATAAACAGAAACTCCTAATATCTGGACACCCACCAGAATAGCAATCGCACTCCCCAAATGTACCAAAATAAAATCAGCAGCCCCCATGTGCATACAGAAGAAGGCAGGATAAATCATAATGGCTGAGTTAGTATCCCTTTAACCCAGAGACCAAGATTTACACACTACAACTCCGTTAGCTTTATTGTCTCTGCTGAACAAGGCTGGCTGGGAAAAACTTAATTTTAAGTATTTTATTACCTGCTAGTTTTAAACAGTCTCTTTCAGGTTAGCTCAGTTTCTTTTGGATACATAATCAGTCAGATTAATAAATGAAATTCACTTTATGTATGTTTATTTCCTCTCGAAAGTCTTCCCTGTCCTTCCTCAAAATCCTGGGTGGCATTAAACAAAGAAAAAAGCTTTCGTGTACTCTCAGTGTTGGAGGAAAGAATGCTGGAGTGAGCTGTAGCTGGACTGTTACCTGGGCTCTTCTTGGCCTTCATTGAGTTTAATTCTTGTCCGGCCTGGTCACTGAGCCTCTTTCTGTATATGTCTCTCAAATTCACAGCTGATGAATGTGTTCTTCCCACCTAGGCTTTCCTTCCTACTTCCTCTTTCCTGTCCCATAACTTGGTCTAATTTCACTACCTTTGGGTCTGAGCCATGATGATGTTAAACTAGTTTCCATCCCCCTTATTTCAGCTCTGAGGAAGACCTTAAAAACTTCCCTAGCACACCCATGGCAGGCCCTTCTTGGTTCTTAAATTTCAACTACTATTTATTGTGCCTAAGAGATCCCAGAAACTTTTAGATCTTTCTTATATTATCCCAATCATCCCAATCTTTGCAGCACTGTGGTGGGATCTCGGGAGGTAGGTCAGTCTAATGGGTCACTTTCTGTCTGACTATGTGATGTGGCCATTTGTATTCTTCTGCAGCTGCTCCAGGTCAGAAGGTTGCATATTGCTAGTTGCATTCCCCCAGAGCTATAGGTGGAAAGCTGCTTATGGCATCCCATATCAATATATCTTGTGTTTTTATTACTCCCCCTGAGGATTGGCTACCAAAGTTGGATAAAGGTTGATGAAAAATAAGAATCCAAGTTTCTTATCACCTGGAAGCATTCTCTGTTTCCCCCTTAAATGAGAACTTACAGTATATTCTATCCTGAGTTTCCTCTACCCATGGCATATAGAAAAACCTCATAGATCTAGTCACCAGGCCTGTCTCTTGATATGGAAAGGAAGTTTTTGCAATTTACATATATTTTTCTCTTTTTGACAATGCCTGACTGTCAAAACTATTTTCATGTTATGGACTCAAAATAAATCTAATTTGACAGTCAACATGTATAAGGATTTTGTTATTGTAGATGATGCCTGTTCTTTCTCTCAGGTGCTGAAACCCATTAGAGTGGGGGGTGGATGCCTAGGATACTGTGATTTAAGATGAATGAAAAATATAAAAAATATACCAGTTTAACATGTTCAAAAATATGATACCTAAAAAAACTCTAATTCCATCCATCATGATTTCCAACTTTGGTGGGTTTGTGGGTGTTGTTATTCTTCATCTTCTCTGAGCCAAAGAATCCTTCTCTGGCATCCTAAGTAATCTGTTTATTTATTGACTTTGTTACTTACTGTCTCACTTCCTCAATTAGAAGATGAGGTCCACAGGCAGGGCTCTTAGTCTATTATATTCCCGGAGGTATCTCCAGTTCCTGGAACACAGTAGGGACTTGTAACTATCTGTTAAATGAAGGAATAAAAGAAACAGACTTTCCTACGTGCATTTTATGACAAATATTAAGAAAGTCAGATTTTGTTTGTATCTGAGAAAGTGAATTGTTAATAATATTTGCTGAAGAATGCTTAGAAAGTATCAGTTAGGTGCTGAGGTTACAGTAGGGAACAGACATACTGAGCCAGTTCTCATGGAAGGATAGAAGGAGAGAGATCAATTTTTCTAATCCTAGCTCTGGCAAGTTATTTAACCCCCATGAGCCTCAGTATTCTCAAGTGTAAAATAGAGATATGGCCACCTACCCTACAGTGTTGTACTTATATCACAAGTACTGAGTGGATGTTAGTGTTCTTGCTGCTTCACTATCACAGGTGTTAACCTATAGGGTGATGTGAAAAGTCAGAGAAGAGAAGGGAGAAAAAAGAAATTGAACACAAACTTGGTCCTCTATCATAACTGGAAGTTGCTTTAGCTCCTGTTGGTCATTTTTCTCTGATTAACAAGGAGTCATCTTGTAGAATAACTGTTGGTAGTTCCAGAGAATTACTCCTATGGCAGACTGTACAAGGTCACCCATCATGGAAATGGCCTGTGACCCTCTCAGAGGCCCTTAAGTGGCTTGGTTTCAGGCAGGTAGCATTCTGGTTCTTTGTCTTCCAGCCAGAGAGATCTGATTGGCTGTTTTCCAAAGTGGGTTTACAGCTCCCTGGACACTCCTGTTCTTCCCACGTTTGATATAGCTCTTAGGTTCTAACCTCTGCCACTTACAAGTTCTCTCATTTCTGACATCCCATGAGATGCAATCCTTTGATCTTGATATCAGTTGAAATGGAAATATCTCTGAGTTTCATTTAAGTGGTGTCATTTTAAAAAACAGTTTTTATCAATTCAAAGAATGCTATTTGGAAATATTTTTGCAAAGAGATACCCTTGCTTCGTGCTATTCAAGCCTGTAGGCACTCAGACATAAAAAGCTTTCTATGCTGGTCCTGGAATATTGGGTTTTAATGTAATAGGTTTAATGTCTTATTGTTAAAATCAGGACCCACTTTCCATGGTGTTATGTCTTTATGCTGCAGAGTTTTCACCCAAAAATTCTCATGATAGCCCTCACAGATTTTAAGGAATATTTAGCTTCCCAAAATATGGGCTGAGGAAATATTTGTAAGACATGGTCCTCACCCTTAATCAGATTATCTGGTGATGATAATGATGATGGTGGTGATGATAGTGATGATAATAAAAGTAACAACACTACTAATTCGTAACATTTATTGAGCACTTACTTACTGTGTCATCTCAGACACTGTGTTAAGCACTTTCCATGCATTAATTAGTTAATTTTAAGGAAGTATGTTTAACTTTACTTGTTTATTTTTATTGATACATAATATTTGTGTATATTTATTGGGTACACATAATATTTTGTTACATGCATAGAATGTGTCATGATCAAGTCATGGTAGATAGGCTATCCATCACCAGAAGCATTTATCATTTCTATGTGTCGGGAACATTTCAAAACCTCTATTCTAGCTATTTTGAGATATGCAATACATTGTTTTTAACTGTTCTATCTAACTGTGTTTGTACCCATTAACCAACTTCTTTTCATTCTCCCCCTCCCACTCACACACACTTTCCATTCTACTGTCATTCTACTCTCTATCATTCTACCCTCTACCTCCTTGAGATTAAATTTTTTAGCTCTCACATATGAGTGAGAACATGCAATATTTGTCTTTCTGTGCCTGGCTTGTTTTACTTAACATAATGATCTCCAGTTCCATTCCCATTGCTTCACATGACAAGATTTCATTCTTTTTTATGGTCAAATAGTATTCCATTGTACATATGTACCACATTTTCTTTATTCATTCATCCATTGGTGGACACTTAGGTTATTCCATATCTTTGCCATCCACATATTAATTAATTTAATCCTGGCAAAATTGCCCATGAATGAATGTTCTCATTTTACAGATCAGGAAACTGGTGTCAGAGAGGCTAAATGACTTGCCAAGATAGTAGAGCTGACTTCAGAGAATTTCCTTTATTAAGAATGCTTTGGATACATCATCTTATTTTGTTCTTTCAACAATCCTGTAAGGTAGGAGCATTAGCTACATTTTTCCAGCTGGGGAAACTAAGGCTTGGAGAAGTTAGTTAACTTCTCCAAAGTCAGACAGCTTGTATTCACAGCCAAGCTGGGATATAGGACAACAAAGCCTGTACTCTTAAATTACAGGCTAAGTTAACACCTATTATAGAGGCATGTTGTCTAACAAGAAAGACATTGTCATTAACATGGAGTATGTCTAGATAATACACAAATACACATGCACACACACCCTGCACCTTAAGAGAATTAGAATCGCAAAGCACTTTTATATAGCTTAGAAGTGAGAGTTTGGGAAAGTTATTCTCAGAGGTAATGGTGGAAAGCAATCAGATAGATTGGAGAGTTTTTGAAAACACCTAATTACAATCCAGCAGGTGTATACCCCTAGGCACCTTCAGCAGGTAAAATGGTATCTGGGGCCTGATTGAATATTTCTTTCACTAGGTGTTCCTTTCTGTCTACATTGTGCTTCTGTGAGCTGAGAGATTTAATAACAGATGCTCTGGGATGATTCCTAAGCAAAAGAATTGTCTTTTGTCACTGTAGATGCATTTTCCGACCTTGTGTTCACCATGAATATATCATAAGAGAAATGATCGCCTGACACACAAGCAATGGGAAGTGTAACCTGGGGTTGGGTTTCACTTGATTGTAATTACAGAATCTCAGCTTCATTAACATACGTTTTTATACATGAAACTTTTTTTCTCATAGTAGCCCTTATTTGAAATGAACACCTTTCAGCTTCAAGGCCACAACAATTATGTTCAGGTTGAAGAGCAGTTTGTTTCTACTTATGTGAGAGTAAACAAAACAAGTTATTGTCTCTGTTTTCCTTCCCCATTTGTGTTTGGTTCTGTGTTTGCTGCACGGCACACCAATACTAAACACTTCTCATTTGTCCTAAAGTGAGCATTGGATGAAATGGCTCTATGTATAATATGGGTTTGTATTCTGTTGTCTCAAAGCAGTTACTTAGTGTTTTGAATCCATGTCGATTTAATGATCTTATTCATTCAATAAGATATGAGAGGAAGGAAGGCAAACATGTCCCCTGCCTGTATGTGGCTTATAGTCTGGCAGAGGGGTAAGGCAGGATATTTTGTCTATCTTGTTCACTGCTATGCCCAGTGCGTGCCTGGGACTTAGTGCTCAATAAATACTTGTTGAATGAGTGTATGCACAATAAAATAGATTAAGAGCTATGAAAGAAGGATTACTAGAGGACCATGGAAATGTACAGTGCTGGACTGATTTCCTGCAGGGAAGGGAATAAAGAGTTGAGGCAGATGCTCTCAGAAAGAGAATTCCCACAGCATGGCACAATAAAATATGGCCCCCATTGTCACGTAAATGAGAGTATAGATCCTACTTCCACATTTGCCAGGCCTGAAAGTGTTGACAGGTTATTCCTCCCAAGCCTCAGGTTTCTCAATTGTGAAATAGAAAATTATGCATATGATGCTCTTGTTAGTGACCAGCACATGATGGACAGTCAATACCTGTAGCTACTGTTGACTGCAAAGAACCTGTTGTGGTCTCACTGTGCAGAATTATGTTATTCCTTTCAAATGAAACTTGCAGTAGATTCAGTGTTTTAACAGAATCGTGATGGAAGTCAATAATTGAATGCATCAAATGGGGGAAAAAAAGCACAACCTCTCAACTCGAGATATTTTAAGGTGTGACTGTTTTTTTTTAAATGTTTCTGTTACATGCATCTAAATGACTGGTGTCTTCTTAAGAAGAGCAGAATTTTCTATTATGCTGTGCCACTTCTGTCTTTTGATTTGGGGGAAGTTGCTAGATCTCCCAGAGGTTCAGTTTCCAATACCATAAAATGGAAAGAATAAAAGTAAATATATAAAGGCATTAACTTCTATATCTTAGTGAGTTTTTACTAGGCCTGTGTCTGCCTAGGATCTTCTTTTTTGATTCATCTATTCACCAAATATTTAGTGGCCTCTGGTGATATGCAATGCATTGTGCCAGTCAAATGATGAGATATCTGCTTGGAGGAGCAAAAGATAGGGTGGTGGGCAGAGACGGACTTATGCAAATTATTCCAATGAAGGGTAGTAAGTGCTATGGTAGAGGGAGATACGAATGCTATGAGCATATTACTAATAGCCAAAGCAATCCTAAGCAAAAAGAACAAGGAGGTATCACATTACCCAACTTCAAACTATACTACAATGTTGCAGTAACTGGTACAACATGGTACGGGTACAAAAACAGATGTATAGACCAATGGAACAGAATACAGAACACAGAAATAAAGCTGCACACCTACAACCATCTGATCTTCAACAAAGCAGACAAAAATAAGCCCTGGAGAAAATGACTGCCTATTCAATAGATGGTGCTGGGGTAGCTGGCAAACCTCATGCAGAGGGATAAAACTGAACTCCTACTTCTCACCATATACAAAAATTAACCCAAGATGAATTAAAGACTTAAATTTAGGACCTCAAACTGTAAAAATCTTATAAGAAAACTTAGGAAATAGCATTCTGGATATCAATCTTGGGAAAGAATTTACGACTAAGTTCTCAAAAGCAATTGTAGCAAAAACAAAAATTGACAAGTGGGACTCAATTAAACTAAAGAGCTTCTGCACAGCAAAAGAAAATATCAATAGAGTAAACAGATAACCTACAAAAGGGGATAAAGTATTCACAAACTATGAATCTGAGGAAGGTCTAATATCCAGAATCTATCAGGAACTTAATTCAATAAGCAAAACCAAAATGACCCCGTTTAAAAGTGGGAAAAGGACATGAACAGACACTTCTCAAAAGAAGACATACAAATTGTCAACAAATATATGAAAAAAATGCTCAATATCACTAATCGTCAGAGAAATGTGAATCAAAATCACAATAAGCTACCATCTCACACCAGTCAGAATGGCTATTATTAAAAAGTCAAAGACAACAGGTGCTGGTGAGTCTGTGGAGAACACTTATACACTCTTGGTGGGAAAATGAATTTGTTCAGCCACAGTGGAATGCTGTTTGGCAATTTCTCAAAGAACTAAAAACAGAACTACCATTCAACCCAACAATCCCATTACTAGGTATAGACCCAAAGGAAGATAAATTGTTCTATGAAAAAGACACATGCACTTGTATGTTCATTGCAGCACTATTCATAATAGCAAAGACATATAATCAACATAGGTACCCATCAAGAATGGATTGGACAAAGAAAATTTGGTACATACACACCATGGAATACTACACAGCCATAAAAAAGAATGAAACCATGCCCTTTGCAGCAACATACATGCAGCTGGAGGCCACTGTCCTTAGCAAAATTAACACAGTAACAGAAAAGCAAATATCACATATTTTCACCTATAAGTGGGAGCTAAACATTAGGTACACATGGACATAAAGGTGGAAATAATAGACACTGGGGACAACTAGAAAGGGGAGGGAGGGAGAGGGACAAGAGCTGAAAATCTCCCTATTGAGTAATATGCTTACTATCTAGATGATGGGATCAATCATACCCAAACCTCAGCATCACTCAATATACCCAGGAAACAAACCTCCACGTACAATCCCTGAATATAAAATAAAAATTGAATTAAAAAAGCAAAAAAACCCAAAAGCTATAAACATGTAGAAAGGTCAGGCACAGTGGTTCATGCCTGTAATCCCAGCACTTAGGGAGGCTGAGGCATGCAGATCATTTGAGGTTAGGAGTTCAAGACCAGCCTGGCCAACATGGTGAAACCCTGTCTCTACTAAAAATACAAAAATTAGCCGGGCATGGTGACAGGGCCTGTAATGCTGGCTACTTGGGAGGCTGAGGCAGGGCAATTGCTTGAACTTGAGAGGTGGAGGTTGCAATGGGCCAAGAGCACTCCAGCCTGGGCAACAGAGGGTGTTGGTTTAGCATGGGACTGTCATGGCCACCAGATTGGTCTTTTGCTTTCTGAATCTCATTTCCAAATTTAGTGTCTGATACTGCTTGTCAATACGTCTTTCATGCATGTTTAGACTCCACTCAGCTCAATTCCATTCTAAGCATTCTTTTGTCATTTATCATTCAATGATTCCAGCTATCTATTGACCCAATATAAATCTATTAATCAATAAAGGCATATTTCCTGATATCTCTTTCAATAATTCAATAAAGGGATATTTTTTGAACATACCTTGTGTTTCAGATACTCTGCTCTGAAATCAGGAATGAATGAGATTTCATCCCTCTTCTTAAGAATCCTCCAGCCTAGGAAATGATGTAGGAAAGATACCCATTACGATAGCACAAGACAAAACGTGATATAGCCATCAGCAGGAACAAAAGGTGGGAAAACAATATATGTTGGCACACCTAGCCAGCATCACATGTTTAGTTACCTGTTCATTCACTTTAGCCACTAGAGGTTTAGACACCTGTTTTGTTTTGTTTTGGTGGGAGGTTGATTTTATTTAATTTTTATTTTAAGTTCAAGAGTACACGTGCAGGTTTGTTACATAGGTAAACTTGTGTCATGAGGGTTTGTAGTAGAGAATATTTCATCACCCAGGTATTGAGCCTAGTACCCATTAGTTATTTTTCCTGATCATCTCCTTCTTCCCACCCTCCATCCTCTGATACAGACCCCTATTTTAGATATGGGAAATAGGAGAGGTCAGGCCCTCAAGGTAGGTGTGATTTCAAAGGCTTGAAGGTGTGATTTCTTTTTTTATTTTTATTTTTATTTTATATTATATTTTTAAAATTTTATTATTATTAAACTTTAAGTTTTAGGGTACATGTGCACAACGTGCAGGCTTGTTACATATGTATACATGTGCCATGTTGGTGTGCTGCACTCATTAACTCATCATTTAGCATTAGGAACCAACCCAAATGTCCAACAATGATAGACTGGATTAAGAAAATGTGGCACACATATACCATGGAATACTATGCAGCCATAAAAAATGATGAGTTCATGTCCTTTGTAGGGACATGGATGAAGGTGTGATTTCAAAGGCTTTGAATGACAAGTCAAAAGGTTATTCAGTAGGAATAGCCTTCCATGTTTTGAAGAGGAAAAAGGAGCACACAAGCAGTACTAAAAAGCAATACTTCCCATGTCTTGTGAGAAGACTGAGGCTGAGAAATGCAATGGAGAACTGAGACCATTGCTAGGTTCTATTGGAGACGGTTTCTCTTGGGAAGACTTCAGGTATTTTAGAGTAGAGTCATGTCATGGAGTGCTCTCCAAAAACTGGCAAATTCCTCCTATATCCAAGCAGAAATTTTCTTTACTTTTGGACAACTCCTGATGCTTATGTGACCAGTTACTCCTTAAGCATATTTTTTGAGACCCAGATTAACACAGATCTCAAAGTGGATGGTTCCAGATAGAGAAAATTGCATGAAGAATGCTAAGTAGGTCTAGATTCTTCAAGGTGCGGTAGGGTCAGACCAATTTTTTAATCAAGTGTCTTGTCAAAAATAAAAATGCATTACAGATTTTGTTTCATTTTTTACAAGAATAAAGGTGAAGGTGTTAGAGTAGCTGATACCTTTTTGACATTTTGACTCTGGAAGTTATTATGCCTTTAGATTCAGTGGAAATGCTTCCTTTATTTCCTCTTACGCTAATTCATTTTAGGTAGAAACGTCAATGTTGGCCTAATATGTGAGGCCGATGGCATCTCTTAACGTTTAAAAGTCTGTTAACTCTCCTACTATGAAAGTTCTAAAACCTCTGTCCAATTCTTTAAATACTCTGATTAAGATTTAAAAGGCTACTTTTTTACTACCATTTAATTATCTACTTCCCAGGTAACTGTGATATTACAATTTTGCAACATCCTGTAGCTCTTTGTCCAACCATTCAATTATGTATATAGCAAGATTTTTACCCTACCATAATTAATAGGGGAACCAAGTAGAAACATTAATGTGAATTAACCGTTAAAATGCACAGAAGGCTGGCTCTCATATTTTTTCCCATACTGAATTCCTGGAGTTTTACCCAGGGGTGAGGCTCGGATCAGCACTCCTATAAAAAATTGTCAAACTTGCTGTTATATACTATGATTATTATAAGTTTATTGGTACATTTCTAAGTAGATAGGAAAAAGATGCCTGAACTTGCAGGTTATCTCTGCTTTTAACTTGTTTTTACCATTGGCCAGGAGGCAAGTTATATAACCTCTTGGATTCTTAGATTTCTCTTCAATTAGTTACAGTCTGTACCACCTTTAGACCAGGCCAACTAGCCCTGGCACAAGGTCTTGGGCTTAAGGGTCCAGCTCTGGCTTTCTTATGGTTGTGCTCCTATGAACTAAGAATGCTTGGGCCAAGGGCTGTGTCCATCCAGAACCAGTGTCCTCCTACCCAAATCATGTTCTGGGTACTGGAGACCCTAGGATTCTCAGCATAAGTGGCCCTGAATCTGTTTCCAGTTTCTTTCTTCCCTGAGTTTATTCTCTTAAGGTCAGAGAAGAATGCTGGGTGTGTGCATGCATGCATGGAGTGACCAAGGACTATGCATTACCCAAGTTTGGAGATAAAGGGCTCTGGTGTCCAAAGTCATGTGTTCTGTTCCCTGCAGTGCAGGCTGGAGCCAGAGGTGAGGATGAGGGGAAGTGGGTTCAGAAGTTTCAATTTGTACTCTTGCTTCAGGCCCTGCAAGTGTTGAGGCAGATTTGGTTAGAACTGTTAATTCCCACCTTTTAGGAGAAAGTGCAGGGGAATTAGCTGCAGGCTGCAGGAAGGGCTGACCCAACATATTTGAGGAGGAAGTGTTGTATGGTAATTGTGGTTAAAGGTTTCCTTGTTTTTAAACATGCTTATTAATTATATGTCACAGTAATTCCAGCCTTAGCTGTTCATTCCTAAGTTCAGACACTAAATTTTTGTTAAAATATGAATAATTATTAAAGGGGAAAATACATCTTTATTATTCAGCAGAATCAATTAACATATTTGCATGCATTTGTTTTATTAGCCAGTCACCTAGAAAAGCTCAGAGGAAAAGCCACAAGATTAGTATAATTCACTCATGTTGAATTAATAAGTGTCTGGAAGAGTATCAGAATTCCCTGAATCTGCTAAGCTTTTAAGCTTTAGCACGCTAATTGTCATCACCACCGCTACTACCATCACCACCACCACCATCATCATCATCAAAATAATTAAATACCAGTAGCTAATACTCACTGAGCATTTGTTATGTGCCAGGCTCTGTCCTAAACACCTTACATGAATCACAACCTTCAGTTCTCATTGAACCTATGAAGTGGGTACTTTTATTACCTCATCACACAGATGATAAAACATGATGCACAGAGAATACAAATGATTTTCTCGAATCTCAGAGTTCCTACCTATGAAGGTAGCATCAGGATTTGAACCCAGGTCTTCAGACAGCTTCTTCCCATTGACTTAAGTTTCCCACTTTATTTGCATGTGTCTTTCATCAGCCTGATTTACTGACTCATCCTTTATGTGTCTCCAGTGCATCACAGGAATTTAAAGTGTAATGTTAGATCATCTTGTGTATAATAATTAGTCTTTACTGCTCTTATTATAATAACTCTCACATTCTGTACTCATGGCTACTTTATACCAGTCTGATTCTGGTCATTAAGAGGCAGAGGGGATTAAAAAAACTCAGATTAATATGGGTCTATTGTGTTTATTTAGCTAACTACTAGGGTGATGAACTTAGATAAAATAATTACAAGGACAATTGTCTAAGAATTCTTACATCATTCAATTAAGTCTTTATTATCTTTTCAAGTGTATGATAAAATATATAAATTTTAAATGTGGAAAATATATGTAAAAATTGTAAAATATATTAACAGAAAAATTTATTACTTTTTATTTATATAAAAACAATATTTGATTACTTTTATTGTGGTTAAAAATATCACATTCCTAGAATATATATAGTCTGCTTTAAATGGAATATATTGTCATTAAATTTTATTTATTTTTAAACAAATTACATTCAAATGAATTTTCTCTTTTTTGAGGGAGTGGAACTAAAGATCTGTAACTCTAAACCAGGAATTGGCAAACTATAGCCTAGAAGCCAACTCTGGCCCAGAGCCTTTTATAAAGTTTTATTTATAAATAAATAAATAAAGTTTTATTTGAAGATGACCAAGCTCATTTGTTTACACATTGTTTATGGCTGCTTTTGTACTATAATAGCAGAGTTGAATAGTTGTGATAGAGACCTTAGGGCATGCAAAGACTGAAATATTTACTATCTATCCTTTGTGGGAAAAAGTAGTTTGTTGACCCCTCCTCTAAACTATGTGTCTGTAGCAGTCTGCTTTTGCATTGCAATAAAAGAATACCTGAGACTGGGTAATTTATAAAGAAAAGAGGTTTATTTTGAGTCACGGTTCTGCAGGCTGTACAGGAAGCATGGTGCTGGCATCTGCATCTGGTTAAGGCCTCAGGAAGATTCCAGTCATGGTGGAAGCAAAGGGAGATCTGATGTATCATATGGTGAGAGCAGGAGCAAGAGAGAGCAAGGAGGTGCCACACTCTTTTAAACAACCAGATCTCATGTGAATCTTCATAGGATGAGAACTCATTACTGTGAGAACAACACCAAGCCATTTATGAGGCATCTGCCCCAGGATCCAAATACCTCCCACCAGACTCCACCTCCAACATTGGGGATCACATTTCAACATGAGATTTGGAGGGGACATTCAAAATATATCAGTATCAAAACAAAAATATTGGTTGGCACACATTCCAGTAGTACCATAGAGTCCCCTAACATTTGAGACTTTGCAAATGGACAGAAACACAGTCGTGTCAAAATAATTTTTAGACTCTAAAATGTTCAGCCAGTTAAACAAACATGTTTTATTTTATTGTTACCAGAATTTGAAAAATATCACAAAATCAAGGTGAGGTTATCTTAATCCTATGACTGCTCTTTAAGCAAACAATATGTTTTTCAAAATTGACCAAATAAAGCAAAAGAGATGAAAAACAACAACAACCATAGAAGGTATTGTGACAAAACACAGAATCAAGTATTTACTTTGTTTAATCTAAAGCAGAATTAAAATGGGAGAAGATAAATACCAAATTTCACGTGAGAAATAACTATTTTCTGCTAAGTAAACTTATTAAAAAAATACAGTCACACTTTTTTGCCACTAACAGAGGATCATTTGCAGAGGCTTGTCTCTATGTCTCTATTAAGGGGATACAGTGATGTTTTCCTACCTTGATTAGATTATTCAATAATTTCTTTGCAAGAGATTTCAGCTGCCTCCCTATGTAAACCAGGCCTAATCTATCTGGTATTTACAGGTTAATCCCTTAAAGACTTGTGGACAGGATATGTCAGAAACTGGTGTTGGCTTGAGAGACAGCCTACTGTAGGTAATGCAAGTGTTGCTTGGTAAATTTGATGAGCCTAATTCAACCACAATTTTCAATATCTAATATTTTATTCCCAGGTATGCTTGTTTAAAAGAAATTTTAAAATGCCAAAAGAAAGCCCTTCTATCTAACTTTCACACACAAAAATCACATGGTGATAAACACAAAAGTAGATTTCAAAAATGTTACTGGGACAATTTGGAATTCATATGCAAAAAAAAAAGAACGAACGAAACCACAAACAAATACTCTAGCCATACTTCACACCATATACAAAGATTAACTTGAAATATATAAAATACTAAATATAAAATTAGAACTATGAAACTTTTAGGAAAGTGCTATCCAAGTGGAATACTGAACAATGATGGAAGTGATCAGCGGCTGTTCTGTCCAATGCAGTAGCCACCAGCCAAAGAGGCTATTGAGCCCTTGAAACGTGGTTAGCATAATTGAGGAACTAAAGTTTTAATTTAATTTGATTTGATTTAATTTAAATTTAAGGCACCATATGTGACTGGTGATTGTTGTGTTGGACATCAGAGTTTTAGAAGAAATTATAGCTAATACATATTTGTAACTTGAGTAAGGCAACGATTTCTTAGGGTGAAAAAGAACAAACAATGAAAGATGAAAGGTAAATTAAGCTTTATGAATACAAAAATCTATGCTTTATAAAATACACTGTTAAGAAAGTGAAAAGGCAAGTCGATGGACTGGGAGAAAATGCTTACAATGAAATATCTGCTAAAGGACTTGTATTCAGAATTTACAAAACATTATCAGAATGCACTACTAAGAAAACCAAATGGGCAAATGATTTGAACATATACCTCAACAAAAAAATACAGAAAAAGGCAACTACACCCAAGAAAAAGTGTTCAACATCATTAGTCATTAGGGAAACTCAAATTAAAACTGCAAGATATAACATTATACCTCTAAAAGAATGGCTAAAATAAAGGGGAAAACCCCTAAACATCAAACGCTGGCTAATATGTGGAGGAGCTGAAACTCTCATACATTGTTGGTAGGAATGCAAACTGTCAAAACACCTTTGAAAAACAGTTTGGCAGTTTCTTATAAAGTAAAATACAGATTTACCATATTACTAGCATTGTGCTGCAGCCAAACATTACCAGTTCATAGGAGCCAATCATGCACATCTATTTCTAACTCCACATTCAGTGATGCCATGTTGGGAGACTGAAGCGGTTTAGAGTAGGAGTATTTACACTGCAGGAATTGGCAAATGCTACAAATCAGAGACTGTTTTGGGGAAAGGGGAAGAGTCAACTATTAAATGTCTACCAGTAAAGTAATCCATATGGTCCAGCAATTCTAGTCCTAGTGAAATGAAAACATATTCATCCAGATACATGTACATTAATGTTAATAGCAGTTTTATTCATACTTGCCCCAAACTGGAAACAATGGAAATGTTTATTAACTGGTGAATGGATAAACAAATTTATTACATTTATAAATGAAATATTACTCAGCAACAAAACATAATGAACTACTGATATATGCAAAAGCACACACTCTCTTTCCTTTAAAAATAAAAGCACAAACATGAATGAAGCTAAATCTTTTCTTTGGGATCTGGTTCTACAGTATTTTCTTCTAATGTTTTCAATTGTCACAATTGTTTGGACCTGAAAGGTACTTCTGAACTGTCAAGCGAGCTATAGTTGCTATTAGTCCATCAAATGAATTTTAGAGATATGTCATATCTTTTATGAGACTAAAGAGCTTAGAATTCTCCCTCTCAATTAAGTTTCCAGGAGTGGCTGCATTTAATATGATTTCTGATACTCTGACATAGCACCAATTAACAGAGTCTAGTTTTAAATCCAAATTCAAAGAGCAAATGTCTTTTAGCACATAATTTAATGTCTATTCCAATTTACCACTTGTGTTTTTGTTGATTTTACAGAGGCCCTTGGATGGTTCTGCCCTAGTCATTAGGGTACTAATTCTGTTAAATACTTGTTAAGAACTACATTACCTACTCATGCCAAACCCTGGTGATTCAATGCTATAACGTATGGGTGAGGAAGTGCAGAAAATGACAGGCTGATTGGATTTTGTTTTTCTAATCACATTATGTTCTAATACTTCTGACCAGGTTGTTTAAGGATTTTATAAAAATCACCTTTTACAGAAGTCACCTTTCACCTTTCATTATTGTATAACTTTATGAGAGAGATGTGTCAAATGGTATATAATAGCTTATTATTTTTGTCCTCTAAAGTGTTTATTTCACGTCAAAAAAAGTAGAAACTTGTTAGATAAGAGCTGTGAGAGCTCCTTTTGAATGCAACAAACTAGTTGAACTGAATTGTATTAAATATTATTTTTCTAATGCATCAATGGTCCCAAGACAAAAAAAAGACAAAAATGTTTGTTTACATGAAGTAACTTTTCTCTATGAAATATTCAATGTAATAAAGCCAAGATAGTAGGAAAGATGTTTTATTTGAAGGTGTGTGTGTGTGTGTGTGTGTGTGTGCATGTGTGTGTGTGTATAAAGTAGTGAATTAAGCATTATGACACACTCTAGCCACTGGCTACTGTGCCTACGGTATTAGGCTTGGGATTCCACAACATTTGTTGGTGAATGCCCTGGGATTAAGGTTCCTGGAAATCATTGCCAAACTAGACAGGAACAAATTAATCTAGACAGCATAAAGCTTGACAAGCACATTAGTAATTTTTAACATCTGGAGAATACTGTCATTGCTGATTAGATGAAGGTATAAAAATATACCTAAATGAAATGTTCAAAACAAAATAGAATATGATTTTTAAAATTTCTGAGTAGCTTAATTTGTCTTTTATTATTATAAAAACATAATATGTAAATGAAATACTAAAAACAGAGATCTAGAAGTAGAAAATAATATTTAACCAATCCCATTTCACTCTGTAGAAGTGACTTATACATATATATGTATATACAGAGAGATTTTAAAAATAAAAATTCTATCATGTTGCCATATTCTACACATTTTTTTTCAATTGCTAATTTATCATTAACTTCTTCCATGAAAATACCTACAGATCTTCCTCAAGGATGCATATAATGAAGCTCTAAATGTACTTAGCCAAAGCCCTGTTAATGAATATTTAAAGTTTTTCTCTATTATGGTGTGCATTGTTGACTCGATTATTTGCTTGCTTCTGTGACAGTCCCTTTGGATAGGTTAGAAGCAGATTTTTGAGTTGAAAAGAAAAAAAAGGTGTTTTCTTGAGAAGGAAATTGGGTTATATTAAGTTGGAGATTTGGAGTGAAGGATAGAAAAGAAGAAAATTAGATTGCCATAGGAAGGCTGATGATTTATGTGTAAGATCCAGTGCTGTGTGTTCTCCGTTTCAGCAATGTGGCATCATTGTGCGACATACTTTCATGTGTTATCTGTTCATATTGACTTGATTTTTTAATCAATTATGCCATTTTCAGGCATACTTCTTTAAATTGGAAAAAAAATATTTTCAGATTATCTTTGACTGAAGTTTAATTGCATGGAATAAAAAGAATATCAAAGTGGCAAATGCTATGTAAAAAATTAAATAGAGTAATGCACAAGAGCATTGGTAAAGGAGGAAGACTTTAGCTGAAATGATGAGTGAAGGCCTCTTAGAAGAGGTAATATTCCAGGAGAAACTGCATGACCAAGAGGAGGCTGCTCCTCTTGATTTATGAAGAAAGAGATTTACTAAGAAAATTGTTGTTGTTGTTGTTGTTGTTGTTTTTCAGATAAAGGAAACTATGAGTACAAATAAACTAAGGAAGGAACTAATTTGGTTTATTCATAGAACAAAAGTTATTTCAGTATGTTTAGAGAGAATGGTAGAGGCCAAACCATGGAATGCCTTGAGTACCAGAATAAGAAGTCTGATGTTAGAAAAACAAAGTACTTCAAGTTCAACTGGAAGCTGTTAGAGATTTTTAAACTGCAGAGCCTCATAATATGATTCATGTGATTATGTGGCCAATTTTAGTTTTATTATTTTTTCTTTTTTTTCTTCAACTTTTAAGTTCTGGGATACATGTGCAGCATGTGCAGGTTTGCTACATAGGTAAACGTGTGCCATGGGGGTTTGCTGCACAGATCCACCCATCACCTTGTATTAAGCCCAGCATCCATTAGCTATTCTTTGTGATGATCTCCCCCAACTCCTCCCTCCAACAGGCTCCAGTGGGTGTTGTTTCCCCTACCATGTGTCCATGTGTTCTCATGGTTCAGCTCCCACTTAAGTGACAACACGTGGTGTTTGTTTTTCTATTCCTGTTTTAGTTTGATCAGGATAATGGCTTCCAGCTCCTTCCATGTCTCTGCAAAGAACATGAGCTCATTCCTTTTTATGGCTGCATAGTATTCCATGATGTATATGTACCACATTTTCTTTATCCAGTCTATCATTGATGGGCATTTGGGCTGATTTCATGTTTCTTCTATTGTGAATAGTGCTGCAATGAACATACACATCCATGTATCTTTATAATAGAATGATTTATATTCATTCCTTTGGGTATATACCCAGTATAGGATTGCTGGGTCAAATAGTATTTCTGCCTCTAGATATTCAAAGAATCGTATGTGGTTAATTTTAAACATTTGTTTAGTGAATGGATTAAGAAAGGCAAGGGTGGAAACCAGGAGGCAAGGTAGGACAATATTTAGGTCACACAATGCAGATTGAGAGCCATCATGCATTAAGAATGTATTCTGGAGGTAGGACCAGGAGGACTTGGTGATGAATTGCATGTACAATGTGAAAGAAAGAGATAAACTATGGCTATCTTCCTATCTAAAAGAGGCGGTTCTTTGGCATAAAAGTAATTTTGATAGCTCATAGTGCTTGGAAAATGAAAAAAAAACTTGGAGTCCAGAGCCTACCATTGGTGGGTTCTATTATAAACCCTTTCTGCTTTGGTCTGGGATCCTGAAAGGTGGGTGGTTCCCTGGGAACAAGGATGAACCAAAGGTAAAGCAGACATCACAAAGACTTCATCACAGTAAGAGTTGTTTGAATGCCCCCCTCCTCCCAAATCTCAATCTCTAACTCTAGAATTAATGTGATCCTGAGCTGCTAGGGCATAGCTGCCAAGCTGAAACAAAATGATAATCTTTCCTATAGAAATATAGGCTACCACTACAGATCAAATTGTTTTTTACAAGCAACATTTAAAATAAAATGTCCAAAACATAATCAAAGATAACCAGGTATATTATGCTGCTATTTCCTAGACCACATTTTGGGTAGGTGCAATCTACTAGTAGCTGACTTTTCAACCGAAATAATGGAAGCCAGAAGAACAATGAGCTGATATTTTCAATGTTCCAAAAGAAAGAAAGCTGCCAACCATGAATTCCATGCCCAATAATAATAACCTTCAAAAAGGAGGGCAAAATAAATATATATATAGATGAAGAGTGAGTGATTTTTGACAATAATACCCAAAGTAAAAACTAAAGAAAGATCTTACAAACAGAAAAAGAATGTTCCCAGAGAGAAACTTAAAGAATTAAGAAGGGATTCAGAGTAAAATGGTAAATTAATTATGAATATAAATGACATAGGCAGAATTAAAATATATAATACTTACAGCATAAACATCAGATTAATTGTGCAAAAGTGTTCTAAGTTTCTTGAAATTCTGAGGAAGAGGGTAAAAATAAAAACACTAATCAGCATTAGATTATGCTAAGCTAAGAAAATATGTTTTAATCTTTAGGATAACAAATAAAATAATTTCAAAAAGTGTATTATAATTCTTAAAAAGAATAGTAGGAATAAATAATCCATGACACACACATGAGAAAGAGAGAGAGAGAGAGAGAGAGAAGAAATGTAGGGCAGGACAAATTCTTGGTAGATTGTTAGGACATTAGTAGTATTCTTAGTAGATTGTTTACAAATACATTAATAATTGCATTAAATGCCCCAATTAAAAGCCAGTTATTTTTCAGATAGTTATTTCACTAAAAGAATAGGAAAAGATACTCCATAAAAACACTGACTGTTGGGTAATCAACGTCTGCTGCCTATTATCAGGAGTAGAAGTTCAAGCACTTCTGTCCATTGCATCTTGGTATCAGAGTCACCAATGAAAATAACACAGTGAAGCACTGGATGAAAAAAAAATGCTATACTCATATAGAGAAGAGACAGAGCAAGGCAAGCTTTAACAGTGGGCATCTGTTCCCTGTGGTCAGTGGGCCCCTCCCAACAAAACTCAAAAAAGGAATTACGGGACAGGACAATTATGAGTCCTGTCTAACTCATGAGTGTAGAAGTAGAAATTCTAAACAAATAATTAGCGAATCGAATTCAGCTATGCATCCTGCTGAATGAGCTTATTCAGAAATTCAAAGTTGTTTAATGTTTCTTAATTTTTAAGGGTAATGTGCCACATTAATGGAATAAAAGAAGAAAATCATTTCAATTAATACAGAAAAAGTGTTTGATAAAATTATTTCAGAGTTTAAAAGTTCTTACTAATCAACAAGATAATTTCTTTAATCTAATACATTATATTGGCCAAAACCATAAATAGATATTATATTTAATGGTTAAATATTGACCCCCTCCCCATTCCCTTAGAGTCTGGGACTAACAAAAGATGCCTGCTATAAACATTATTTTTTAATGTTGTATCCTTGGCCCTAGATAGTTCAGTAATGCAAGAAAAAAATAAGGATTGGCAATGAAGAAATAATACATTCATGATTGACAGATGTTAAAATAATTAATAGGTGATATTAGCAAGGTTGCTGAATAGGTAAATATAAAAATCAATTAAATTCCTCTATGCCAAAAATAAACAGAAAAAAATGAATTAAAAATACCGTTTATAATATTATCAAAATAATCAAATACTAAGAATGCAATTATAAAAGATATGGAATGTTCCTATCAATAAAATGACAAAACATTATTTAAAGAAATGAAAAAGACCTACACATAAATATATATTATATTCATAGACTGGAAGAAATTTAATCTTAAAGCTATCAATTATTCTCAAATTAATTTTTTAGATTACTTTTTACACTCAATGTCGTGTATCAGTAACTTGGCAGGTAGAATTTTAGAAATTGGTGAGCTGATTCTAAAATGTATATGGAAATACAAAGCCCTATTAATCAAGACACTCTTGAAAATCAACAATAAGCTGAGAGCAATTTTTCGCACCAGATCCCAAGATTTATTTGAACACTACAGTAACTAAGGCAGTGTTATGTTATTGTGAGGATAGGCAAAGATTGCTATAGAACAGAATGGATTTCTGCAATAAACATGTACACATAAGGACACTTGATTCAAGAGAAAGGTGGTGCTGCAGAGAAGTAGGAAAGTGATGATCTTTTCCATAAACGGTGCTGGGAAAATTGGAAATCCATATGGAAAAAGCAAACTGCACACCTGACTCACACCATTTACAAAAATCAAATCCAGGTGAATCAAATACTTACATGTGAAAGGTAATACAGTAAATGATTGAAAATAAAATATGGGAGAATATAAGCTTGGATAGAGGAAGATTTTAATAAATAGGACTCAATATTATTCATTAATGTTAATATCGACACATTTAGATACATTAAAACCTGTCTTCATTAAATGATTTCATAACGAAAATAGAAAGGTTCTCACGGCATGGAAGAAGAAATATGAAATGAAAATAATCATCAAAAGGTTTGTATAAAGACCCTATGCAAGGTTCCTACAAAGTATTAAGAAAAAAAGAAAGTCAATAGAAAAGTGGTTTGTAGATTAGTTGCAGTAGTGGCCCTGGCCATTCATTTCCTCCTTTATCCATACTTTTTGTGACTTTGCAGTAACTCTCATCAAAAGGTAGAGTCTTGTGTAATTTGCTCTGGCCAGTAAAATGCAGCAGAAGTGACAGTGTGACAGTTTGGGGTGTAGTTTTTTTTGTTTTTTTTTTTTTTTTTTTTTTTATGAGACAGAGTCTCACTCCGCCAACCAGGCTGGAGTGCAGTGGCACAATCTCGGCTCACTGCAACCTCCGCCTCCTGGATTCAAACAATTATCATGTCTCAGCCTCCTGAGTAGCTGGAATTACAGGCACCCGCCACCATGCCCAGCTAATTTTTGTATTTTTAGTAGAGACAGGGTTTCACCATGTTGGCCAGGCTGGTCTGGTACAGATCTCTCCGTGCCCTTAGATCTCTTGGATCCCAGATAGCCTACAGGAGGACGTAGGAGACGTGGCCTTGTCTTCCCCACAGCCCCATCCTAAGCTGGCCAATTGCCAGACATGTGAGTGAGGCCGTCCTAGACCATCCAGCCCCCATTCAGCCTGTATATGCCCCACAGACCAGTCACAATTAGCTAAACCTAGCCTAGAGCAGAAGAACTATGAGCTAAATAATGCTTATTGTTTTAAATTACTAAGTTGTAGAATAGTTTGTCACTCAGCAACAGCTAAATGATAAAAATAGGCAAGGGTCTTAAAATAAGTTACTTCACAAAAGATCATATACAGGAGCCAATAAACTTATGAGATGATGCTCAATCTCATTGATCCTTAGGGAAACAAAACTTCAATGAGATCGCTACCAGAATAACTAAAATTAAAGCCTAACAATACCAAGTGCTAAAAACGATATGAGCAACTTCGATTTTACATGATGCTAGTAAGAGTGTAAATTGGTATGAAACACTTTGACAAATATTGGCATTAGCTAATACAATTGAAAATGCAAACATTTTACAGACTAGCAATTTCATATCTAGCTATGTGCATTTGTATACTAAGAAATATATATGAGTGTTCATATCAGTATTATTTATAATAGCCCTAAACTTAACACAACTTAAATGTCCATCAATTGTAAAATGGATAGTGATATACTCATATAATGGAATCCTATAAAACAGTGAAAAGGAAAAATTACAGTTAATTTTTCACTCACATGGTGAATATTGGGCAACAGAAGTCAGATTTAAAGAATGCCTGCTATATTATTCCAATTATATAATGCTTAAAAATAAACAAGGCAAGTAAGGCAAAAATAAACAATAACATAATTTATAGTTCATAGAAGACAAATGTATGAAGAAAAACAAGGAAGTGATAAGTAAAAATGTCAGAACCCCTGGTTACATTTAGAAGGGAAAGAGGAGATTATAATTGGGAAGGGACAGCCAGGAGCCTTCTGGAACACTGGCAAAGTTTTATTTCTTGACTTGAGTGGCAGTTACATGACAGTTTGCTATACGGTAATTAATTAGTTAGTGCACTTATGTGTTATGCACTTACTGTTAGCATGGTATATTCCATAATGAAACTGTTAAAGAGAGAGAGGCATCATGGGAGTTCAAGAGTGGCATTTGTGAATCTGTTGCTTACAACCCAATCAGCCCATTATTGCTTCCCAGATGATACCGCTACTATGTCATCTGTGAAGCAAAAAAATGGGTTGGCCAGATAAGCGTTAAATCTTTCTTTATCATTTTGGGGTGCTAAGTGTAAAAGTAGAATGCTAGTACAATAGTTCTGGCATACAGACCAAATAATGAGCCCTAGGATTAGTGAGAAATGACTATTCTCACAGTCATTTAATGGAACAGGTTGAGGTTTTGATGTGATTTTGAGTAGCAACCCACATTAGCTAAGGTGCTCCTTAGAGTGCTTTGTTTCTTGCTCCCTGAACGGTCAGTCATGCCGGAGGCGTGGCCCTGTCTCTCAGTTTTGCAGACCGGTCAGCAGAAAACACAGCAGAATGCTAACCAGGAGATGCCTACACCTTATTGGTTTATTCCCATGTGCTGCTCCCCATCCTATTTTTTTGTGTGTGACAAGATGATTGTTTATCTAATTCAAAGCCTGCTCAATGTAACTAGGGATGAATTAGAATTGCTTGTAATCCTTGTGTAACACATGTCCTGTTGTCACCACAAAACATTTCTGTAAAAATAAAATTTGGGGATGAACCACCCTCTAGTAATGATATGGAAGACCACCCTCTAATAAAAATATGTTAATCTGGGCTGGACACGGTGGCTCACGCCTGTAATCCCAGCACTTTGGGAGGCCGAGGTGGGCGGATCACGAGGTCAGGAGAGTGAGACCATCCTGGCTAACAGGATGAAACCCCGTCTCTACTAAAAATACAAAAATTAGCCTGGCATGGTGGCGGGCCCCTGTAGTCCCAGCTACTCGGGAGGCTGAGGCAGGAGAATGGCATGAACCCAGGAGACGGAGCTTGCAGTGAGCCGAGATCGCGCCACTGCTCTCCAGCCTGGGCGACAAAGCAAGATGCCGTCGCAAAAACAAACAAACAAACAAACAAACAAACAAAAAATGTAAATCTGAGAAATCCTTAAAGATTAACATGATATTTATATTATACACATAAGGAAATTTTATTTGGCTTTCTTATATAAATAAAGTGTAAGTATCTCAATCAGCCACGCTACTTATAATGCACATATATGTTGGCCTTTGTATATTGAAGAAGCTAATTTATTTGTAGATCATTCATTCAACTTCGCTATTTCTCTGTTATTCTTTCAATGAAATTAACATTAACAATCTAATTATTCCCAACCATAGTTATAGAAACAAAGGTTGTTTGACCAGAGGTCTCACCTGGAGAACTTTTTAAAAAGTAATGCTCCCCAAGCTCTACCCTAGTTTCAGGTCATCAAAATTTGTCAATATCGCATGATACTATTTTGTTTACCTATTTATCTTTGTCTGCTTGCCCCCTCATCTCTGCTAAAATATAAGCTTCATGAAAACAAGGACCTCTGGACCTAGTTCACCCTTGTCTTCCAAGGCACAGAACAAAGGTTGGCAACTATGACCTTTGGGCCAAATCCAGCCCACCTGCCTGGGTTTGTAAACAAAGTTGTATTGGAACACAGCATTGCCCATTGATTTACTTACTGTCTATGGCTGCTTTCATGCCACCATGCAAGTTGAGTAGTTGGTGACAGAGACCATCTGGCCTGCAAAACCTAAAGTATTTACTGTCTGCCCCTTTACAGAAACCACGTGCTGATCTCTGATTTAGAAAAATGGCTAGCGTAGAGTGGGCTCTCTACATGTGTTGAATGCTGAATGAATGAAATAATCATTTATTAGTGCCTCTCAGCAGCTCTCTTTTGCGCAAATAAGTTTCTTTTTCCATGTTAGCCTTAATTAATTGTTTTATTACACTGTGGTCTCTTCTTGGAAACTTACTCTCCTCATTGCATTATTAAGTACCCTTCATTTTCCCTTGGAGCCAGTCTGGGGTTTTGGTTATGCTAAAGTACAATGAGATATGGGAAGATATGAATCAATTTACGCAAAACTTCTCAGGAGCACATTAATTACATACTATGAGATTTTTTCCCAAGCTCGCTTTCATTCTCAGAGGAGTGGCAACAGTGTATCAGATTACAAGTTAAATGGAAAGCCAAGTTAATAAGGATGGGATGTGATATATTAGAGTAGCGGGTATGATTTGCTATAATCCCCAGCTGAATTTAATGATAGGTTATCAGCATTCAGGGATGAAGTACACTATCTTTCAATAGATAGCAAAAGCACAGTGAACTATTTCTAGGTTTTTAAACCCGTTAACTCTCTATATAACCTTGGGCAGTGGGCTACTTCTGCAAATGAGAGTTTCACAGTCTCTTCTTTAGTAACCAGAAAAATCTGGGTTAGGTGATGTTTATAGTTGATCGTAATTATATTGCTTTATAAATAGGGAACACAATAACAAATAGCCTGAAAGTATAGTGGAATCACAGCTTAATGTAAGTGTTATGTCTTAAAAATTTTCATCAATTTATAATGAAAGTTTTCATATAGTTAAAATTACCTTTGATCTTTATGTGGCCAGTACATTTTTTAAAATTGTGGTAAAATATGCACAGCATACAATTTACTACCATAACCATTTTTAAATGTACAGTTCACTAGTGTTAATTATATTCCCACTGTTGTGTGACCAATCTCATGAGCTTTTCATCTTGCAAAACTGAAACTCTATACCAGTGGTCCCCAACCTTCCTGGCACCAGGAACTGGTTTTGTTGAAAACAATTTTTTTCATGGACCGAGGGTGGGATGGTTTCAGGATGATTCAAGCGCATTACATTTATTGTGCACTTTATATTTCTATTATTATTACAATGTAATATATAATGAAATAATTATACAACTCACCATAATGTAGAATCAGTGGGAGCCCTGAGCTTGTTTTCCTGCAACTAGAGAGTCCCATCTGAAGGTGATGAAAGACAGGGACAGATCATCAGGCATTCGATTCTCAAGGAGCACACAACCTAGATCCCTCACATGCGCACTTCATAATAGGGTTCTCACTACCATAAGAATCTAATACTGCCACTGATCTGACAGGAGGTGGAGCTCAGGCTGTAATGCGAACCATGGGGAACAGCTATAAATACAGATGAAGCTTCCCTTGCTCACCTGCCGCTCACCTCCTGCTGTATGGCCCGGTTCCTAACAGGTAACGGACTGGTACTGGTCTGTGGCCCAGGGGTTAGGGACCCCTGCTCTATACCTTTCAACAACTCTCTATTTCCTCCTCTTTCCCAGCACCTGGCAACCACCATGCTACCTTCTGTTTCTATACATTCGACTACTGTAGACACTTCAAATAACTAGAATCATGCAGTATTTGTCTTTTTTGTGACTGACTTATTTCACGTAGCATAATGTACTCAAGATTCATCCATGTTGTTACATATAGCAAGATTTCCTTCCTTTTTTAGGCTGAATGATACACCATTGTGTGTATATAATGCATTTTACTTATCCATTCATCTGTTGATAGACATTTGGGTCACTTCCATCTGTGCACTATTGTGAATAATGCAGCTATGAACACAGATGTATAAATATTTTTTGAGATGCTGCTTTAATTCTTTTTGGTATATACACAGAAATGGAATTGCCAAATCATATGGTAATTCTATTTTTAATTTTTTGAGGAATCACCATATTGTTTTCCACAGGGGCAACGTCATTTTTCATCCCCACCAACAGTGTACAAATGACACAATTTTTCCACATCCTTGCCAAAACTTATTTTCTTTTTTTTGGGTTTTTTTTTTGATAGTAGCCATACATATAAGGTAGTATCTCATTATGATTTTGATTTGCATTTCCATAATGATTACTAACATTGAGCATCTTTTCATGTGCTTATTGGCCATTTGTATATCTTCTTTGGAGAAACATCTGTTCAAGTCTTTGCCTAATCTTTAATCAAGCTGTTTGGTTTTGTTGTTGCTGTTGTTGAACAGTAGGAGTATTTTATATATTCTGTCTATTAACTCTTTATCAGATACATGATTTACAAATATTTTCTCTCATTCCATACATTGCCTTTCCACTCTTGATTTTTTTCCTTTGGTGCATATAAGTTTTTAATTTTGATGTAGTCTAATTTATCTACTTTTGCTTTTGTTGCTTGTGCTCTTGGTGTCATATCCAAGAAATCATTGCTAAAATCCAATGTCAAGAAGATTTCCCCTATTCTTTCTTCTAAGCTTTTAAGTTTAGGTCTTTGATCCACTTTTAATTAATTTTTGTATATGGTATATGGTAAGTGTCCAACTTCGTTTTTTTTTTCTTTTTGCGTGTGGATATCCAGTTTTCTCAACACTATTTGTGGAATAGTTTGTTCTTTTCACATTGAATGATCTTGCACCCTTGTCAAAAATCATTTGAGCAGATATGTGAGGGCTTATTTCAGAGTGCTCTAATTTGTTCTATTGGTCTATATATCCATCTTTATGCCAGTACCACACTGTTTTTACCACTGTAGTTGTAATTAGTTTGAAACTAGGAAGTGTGGGACCGTCAACCTTTTTCTTCTTTTTCAAGATTGTTTTGGCTATTTGGGTTTCCCATACATACCCTAGTGTCTTGCAACTCTATAAAGTAAATTTTAGGTATACTCCATACTCAAGTTTGAGAACTATTAACCTAGGTTAAAGTAAGGGGAAAAAAGGAGCATCCATATGCAAATGTCTGCTAGGTGTTTTCAGTCCATTCTTCCTTTAAGAGAACTATGAAATCCTTAAAAGTCAGAGCAGGGTAGGATGTGGGAGAGCAGTAAAAAATACTCAAGTGGTCCTGCCTACCTGCAAGAGTTTGTCATTCAGTTTTCATAGTAAGCCTCCATATTTCATTTTCTTTCTTTCTTTCTCTTTCTTTCTCTTTCTTTCTTTCTTTCTTTCTTTCTTTCTTTCTTTCTTTCTTTCTTTCTTTCTTTCTTTCTTTCTTTCTTTCTTTCTTTCTTTCTTTCTTTTTTGAGACAGAGTCTCATTCTGTTGCCCAGGCTGGAGTGCACTGGTGCAATCTCAGTTCACTACAACCTCTGCCTCCTGGGTTCAAGTGATTCTCATGCCTCAGCCTCCAGGTAGTTGGGATTACAGGTGTACAGCACTGCACCTGGCTAACTTTTACATTTTTAGTAGAGATGGAGTTTTGCCATGTTGGCCAGGCTGGTCTCGAACTCCTGATCTCAAGTGATCCACCCACCTCAGCTTCCCAAATTGCTGGGATTTCAGATGTGAGCCACTGCACGTGGCCAACCTCTATATTTCTATGTAAATCTCTTGCTGTAGTGAGAGGGTTACAGAGATGATACAGCCTCATCTTACCTGTGGTGAGGTTCACAAACTTAAAGAAAAGGGCCACATGAAGAGAAAGCACTACCTAACTTCATGTTTCTGTGCAACGGATATTTATTGTGTGCCTGCTGTTTTATGAAAGTTTATGGAAGAAGCATGTTTTCTCATGAGTCTTTGGGGATCGTTATTAGAAACCTATGGTAGGGGATCTCCTCAGGGGATTTCATTCTCCTAAAAAAATAAAGAGAACTGTCTGAAATACTAAAGGCATTAATATATTTTTCCCAGGTACCTATCACCTTTAGGAATGTGATGATTATTTCCAGTTTTTATGGACACATACCTGAGGAGGCTAATTAAAGACCATTTAAGAACTTCATACATGACTTAGATGGAGGCCTAAATCACAAATTCAATTCCTGTTTGGAATCAATAGTCTCTTCTTGCTTACAGTCGCTTTTTGTCTCAGCTCATGTCCATTACTGAGTCATCAGTATTGGGATGAAAAGCCAAAATATAGATTTCTCCAAGGAAAAGTATATTTTATTTCTCTTTGCTCATAATGTTTCAATGCAGGCTGAAAAATGCTTTTTTATAATGCATCTTATTCTAATTATTCACAGAACACATTTTAATTTAGACTTCTCAAATGTACATTAATGTGTGTGTGTGTGTGTGTGTGTGTGTGTGTGTGTGTGTGTATACTATGTATATACTCCTAACCAGAGCTCCTATGAGTTAACTCAAGTCATTCTGGCTCAATAATTTTTAAATGATAGAGAGAAAATAAGACGATTTCCCTGTGTTTTTGAAAACCCTGGCAGAACTCATTATTCTGTGTCACTGGATCTTTCACATATGCAAGTTTATTTTTGGTGTTCCAAGAAATCTGAAGTTCACTAACAAGGTTTTTGAAGAACACTCTTGAACTGAATGTACAGGCTGTAGTTGAATAAGAACAGAGTGTGTTTGGAGTGCAAATGAACCAGCTGGGATACTAAATTCTCATCATGTCCCTAATTCAATAACATGAGTTTTTCTAATTCTTTTAAAATTATGTAGTGTTCATGGCTGAATATAAAAATACTAGTATATAAATGTACATAATTTACTATTTTGTTCAACATCATACCTTTGTCATCTAGATCTATCAAAACGTAGCATACACTGCCATTTATATCAATTGACAATGAATTCAAAGAGGGGTGTCCATCCCTTCCAAAGTTTAAGTGTGGTTCTTACTTAAAGTATCTGTAATTTTGCAGGCATCCTGGAATGAGTTCTGTAATTTTGCTGGGAGGAGGGAAGATTAATTGCAGGATGTTTATAACTATATTGAGGTATTTTGCATTCATTAATAATGCCAACTAATGTTTATAGAACACTCAATATACTCTCAAAACAAAGCACTCTGCTAGGCCCTTCGTTGTATTGTTCTTTTACGTTCACAGCTATCTCATGAGGTGGGTACTCTTTTTAACTCCATTTTACCAAGAAACAAATGGAGGTCTGAATCTGGGATTCAAACCTCATTCTGTCTAACTCAAGAGTCAAATTTTCATGATACTCTTCTCTGTCTAGGTCTCTGATATGACTGTTCTTTATATATTTTTTTTAATTCTGAGGCTTTCTATGTAATTTAACTTTCCTAATGATTTTGAGTATTTCCCATTCCAGCATATGGCCAGCATTTCATGTTCCCATTGGCAATGACACCAACACTAGGAGAAGTGACCCCTGCAATGTACAAATTTCAAAATGTTTATAAACACACTTGACCAGAAGAATGTTTTATCTTCTGTGTAATGCCAGTTATCAAAAATTAAATAATCACATGTGTTCTAGAGGAAGTGAAGATTGAAAAAGAATCGCAAATGAAGACAATAGAATGAAAAGATTATATGGATCTAGATGTAAATGTGCAACTTAAGCAATCCACATGACAGGAACACTTAATCCTGTATCAGGAGAGAAAATGAGTTAAATATGAATTTAGGACCATACCCTAATGAAATTCAATGTCAAGATAAACCTAATAGTCTGTCATTGGCATACTTTACATTTGTTTTGTAAAAGGCAAAGCCTGAAAAAAAGCAAGTTGCTTATAATCCCATAAATAGAACTTGAAATAAATAAGAAATTTATTTTTATATGAAGATTTCAGTTGCTTTTACCATAACTTGCTTCATGTCATTTCTGTATATGTGTGTATATATATATGTGTGTGTGTGTATGTGTGTGTGTATGTGTGTATTATACACTAGATTTTTACATTTTCATATGTGCATCTGTATTTTACATCTATATATATTAAATATGTATATGTTTTACACACACACATACACCAAATTTTCATGACTCATTAGGGAGAGGTGGCTAACCTACTAGAAAGAGCAGTAAAGAAAAAAAAAACCCTTTTTTTTCCAAAAATCTGTCTGTAGATTTCTTCCTTCCTCCCTTCCTCCCTTCCTTCTTTTCCTCCCTACCCCAGACATTTCTTGCACAAATGTTTCCTCTTGCCTTAGGAAAATGTATGATTTCTCTCTTGATGACACTCCATCAAGCTCCTTCTTAGGTTTGCATCCTTAGATGCTAAGATGCATTGTGAGTGCAGAAGAGTGGAGGAAAGTAGAGGCACTCACCAGGGAGAAGGGGCGACAGGAGCACAGAGACTGGGCTGTTGCCTTCGGAATAGCATCTAAGGGCTTGGCAAAGGGTCCACTTGGTTTACATATTTCTCAAAGTACCTGGGGAGGAGGGATGTTGTCCAATAAAAACACACGGATGAAGGACACTGAAGAGGAACATGGAGAGAATGGAAAACAGTCATTTCCTCTTGCGCAACTTTGCCCCAATGTAGAGGAGTCCTGCCTGAGATAACATAGAACTTTCCCTACTATATTGCCCAAGGAGACATAGTGGGTTGACATGTTTGCAGTGATCTCCAGTCTGGTAAGACTTTTTCACTTTTCTGAAAAGAGATGGTCTGCCCTTGATAGTTTTCATTAAATGGTTGAATCTATTTCATTCAGCATGATTTCATCTCTTCCCAGTTAACACAGTGGCTTGGTCTAAAGTTGCCTTTAGTAACCAACTGGTTTAACATTGTGTCCATGGGAAGTATTTCTAAATCCACGTGATTGTTCACCTGAAATTTGGTTTCAGATTGAATAATAAACTGGTTATTTGTCCCACTGCAATAAGCCACTTTTGCTTTCTGTAACCAGATGCTCTAGGAGGATATCTACCCTGAGTTTATACTCTGACAAAGAACAACACTTTTTTTTCCAAAAAAAAAAAAAAAAAAAAAAAAAAAAAAAAAAAAAAAAAGCTTTCTTTTGATTCACTAGAAACTTTAGCTATCACTGTCCTTCAGTAATCTTGGGTTTTTAAAAAAGCTTCCTCAGGTCAGACCATTGGACTATGTTAGGTGTGAGGGTCTGGAGTCCTTTTAATGTTGAAATTTTTGAAGCGTTTGCTGATTTGATTATCTGTGTTAGCCTTCATGTATAGAGAGTTTGAGGGTTTCTTTTTTTTATTTGAAGTAAGTTAATGTTGCCTTCAGCTTAATTAATGAAAGTTTTAAATGTGCTGGCTGTAAGCCTTGTCACTCGATGGTAACAGGGATTTTATAATTATTGGGGGATAAAACATGACAGAAGCTTCTTCTATTTTCTTTCTGTCTGGTCTCACTGTTCTTAGCAGTTGATGCAGCTTTTTGTCACTCTGTACTTTCTGAGAAAACTTCCTGGCTAATATGGGAGTTATCAGATAACTTTACGTGGTCTGCCTAGAGATGTCTGTATGTGGCCCATAAGGATGCTCAGTGGGTTATAATGTCTCTGAGACTGTATATAAAATTGTGTGATATGTGCATTTGTGAGGGAAGCCTACTCATAGCATTTTGTTCATTCTCAAATGGAATCATGAACATCTAAGTTAATAGTTTGGGCTCTTCCCATGCAAGTGTATGGTAGTGGGGAGAAATAATGATAATAGCCAGTGCTCTACTATGTTATTTCCACAGTGTCTTAAACACTGTACTATGGAATTTACAAATATTATCTAATTAATTAGTCACTCTTTAGTGCCCATGTTGCAGAGAAGGAAACCAGTGGCTGGAGAATTTATGTGAGTCAGGATTTGAACCAAGTCAGTCTAGGTCCAGAGCCTGTGCTCCTAGCCCCTTGAGTGAACAGAGGTTCTGAAATCTGCTCATTCACTACCCACCTGTGACATGTCACTGTCCAAAAGGCAGAACTTCTGCTGTCTTAGAGCTTCTGTAAGTATGGGTAAGAGGGTAAAAATAAGGGGAGGCAGGTTAGAGTTGGGGTTTCCTTGGATAAGCTCTGCATTTTCTTTCACTTTTGGAATAGAAGCAAACAAAATCGTCATCCACTTGGCGTTGACTGAGACTCTTGTAATACCTGAATGTGCTCGAAATAGACATGAAAAGGATGCATATACTTGGAAGGTGGAAGAAATGCTCAGGTTTTCCTTTAGGCCTAGAGAAGTAGAAGGTAGTGAGCACACAATCTGGATTCTGAGTTCATAGGTTTGAATCTTTATCCTGCATCCCACTGTCTGTTTCACCCTGGGTGAATTTCAGCACAGCACTTCTCTGTGCCTTAGTTGCCTTGTCTGTAAAGTTGGACTGATAATAATGGTACTTACGTTACTGAATTATTGTGAGGATGAAAAGGGCTGATATTCATAAAGCACTTAGAAGAGAGCCTGGTATGTAGCAAGAGCTACCTGTGCTGCTATTGTGAATTTTGCTATTGTTATTATTACAAGTGCTACTGCTGCTCGTTGTTTTGAAAACTAACATTTAAAACTCTTCAAAAAGCGAAAGTGAATCTCACCACCAAATCTGTTTATTTGGTTTGTGGCTATGAGCTAAATGATGTTCTAAATACACTGGAGAGAGACACAGCCCCTGCCTGGGGCCATTGTAATATCTGAGATGTGGAAGCCCTTTGTCTTATTAAGCTCACGTATGAAATCCTAGCATGGGGCCAGTCACTGAAAGCCCTGGAAGCAGGCTTAAATTCTTGTTAAAAGAATTTAACAAGACACTGTCTCTGGTGTCCCACATCACATCCCCTCAGCTCACCCCTCATTTTAGCCACTGCTGTGGTGGGCAGTGCTGTGGCAGCTCAGACTCACCTTATACATATAGTGCCTGCCTCGGGGTTACTTCAATTATCTTTCTGCTTCAAGGCCTTTTTCAACACTGACTGAGTGTGCTTAGCCTGTGTGTAAGGGCAGCCCCAATGCAACCTTCACCAATGGAGATAAAGACTGGTAGGTAAATTATGCAGCCCCTCATCCTCCAGGTAGATGATTCTAGAAAGTGTTCCACATGCTTCTCAGTGGCTCTGTGGATTCTCAGGAACCCCTGACGCCTGCAACAGAGGCCTTCAAAACACATCCATTAATTGATTTTGAACCTTAATTGTATCACTCTCTCTGCTCCTTCGCTCCTGTCTCCTAGAATCACCTTTCAGGTCCTTGTCTCAGGCTCTGATTTCTGGGGACCCAAAGTAAGACATAAACTGCTCCAAAACCCTACTGATCAAACCGATGTCTTTGTGCAAATCTACTGTAAACTCCATTTGTCCTGTTCCATGCTGCCTCCCCAGTGCCTACCACAGCATCTGGCCACCCGTAAGCATTGGCAAATGCTAGCTGAATGATGGAGTCCATGAGTGAATTAATAAACATGCTTCCTGGAACTTGATAATGAGAAGATCAGTAGGGTACTGCTCAATTGTACTTACTAAATGTGGCACCAGCAATGTGGTAAAGGATGTCAAAATCTTCCTTGGAGGGCTCTTATATCTTGCCAGATTACATCTATCTTTGGTCCTGGCAAGTATTCAATTTTCCCCCAAAATCTTGAAGAGAAAAAGTTGGCAAATTTGTTGATTCTCTATCTTTTCAAAAATGTATATATTCCAAACATATAAATGTTTTATAAGTCAGCTACAATCATTGATCCTGTTATGGGCCCACCCCAGGTTTGGACAATAGATGAGGGTGAACTATTTGGTACACACCTTTCAAGAGGGAGCTTATGGAAAGATGCACAGTTAACATTACATCATGGGGCAATATTTGGGCACAATAAGGGAAGCTGGTATCAGAGGCACATCATGTTATGTGGACATTCAATTGGCCACACATTTTACTTGCAAACGTAACAACACAACAGGCCTCCTAGGCTGACTTGAGAATGTGGGATGCTCTTTCAATGTGTGGACACATACCCGCTTTCAATACACAAAGGTGATCTGCACGACCTCTTCAAGGCAATGGGTTCGTAATTTCATCTTTTCTAGAGGAAAAGACTTAAGGTTTAGAGCATTTAATCTGCAGAATCTGATGAACTCAAGGTTTCCAGATACTGATTGAGAAGAATTGATGTTACTATGTAGCCTGAAAAGATAAAATGCATACACTAGAGCTTCACTGCCAGAACAATTAGTGGAAACTGTAAACTCATGAATAATCTTAGCTGACTTTTGACTCAATCAGAACACAAGCAAAATTCACCAATCCAAATTATGGAGTTCCTGAGCAAGTCTGCCTCCTCTTGGTCACTGAAAAGGAGGGGGAGGTCTGTATAGATAAACTTTAAAAAGAGAATGAGTCTTGTTTAATGACTAATAATAAAACGTTAAGGTCATTGGCAATGTGTGAGAGAGAGAAAATGGACAAAGGGCGGAATATTTTAATTAAACTACCTAAAAGAGACTAAAGTGAACAGCACTAATGACTCAACCTTGCTGCCAGTAAAGCTTTTGTCTAATATCTTGCTAGCTTTCAAGCTGTTTTTGGTTATAATGTTGTAATGTTGTTTGGTTATAATGTTGTATAATACATTGAGTAGGTCTTGAAGATTTTGGCTAATGGGTTTGGGTGAAACATGGCACGGCTGCTGCTGTTGTGGACAAAGGTGACAGTGATCATGATGGTAGTGGTGGTAGTGATGGTAGCAGTGGATGATAGTGGTGGTGGTGGTGTGATGATGGTCGTGGTGGTGATGCTGATGACAGTGGTGGTGGTGGTGTGATGATGGTGGTGGTGGTGGTGTGATGATGGTGGTGGTGGTGATGCTGATGGCAGTGGTGGTGGTGGCGGTGGTGATGATGGTAGCGGTGGTGATGCTGATGGCAGTGGTGATGGTGGTGGTGGTGATGCTGATGGCAGTGGTGGTGGTGGTGGTGATGGTGGTGGTGATGCTGATAGCAGTGGTGGTGGTGGTTGTGGTGATGATTATGGTGGTGGTGATGCTGATGGCAGTGGTGGTGGTGGTTGTGGTGATGCTTATGGCACTGGTAGTGGTGGTGATGATGCTAATGGAAGTGGTGATGGTGGTGGTGATGATGATGGTATTGGTAATAATAATGATAACTAGTGTTTATTATGGTTCGGAAGCTCTACCTCTCCCTGAGTCCTCATAAAGAGTCACTGATGTAGGGTAGGTATCATTATTATCATAATTGCTATTCAGGTTTTAAAACTGAAAGAACAAGCTTATAGGGGTCACACCATTAATGATCAGTGGAGCCAAGACTCAGACTCAGGCAGGCTTTCTCCAGAGGCTACACACTTAACTCCATGTAGTCTTTATACTAATCTAACATCTTGCATCCCATTTTAAACTCATCATGATTAGAGGCCATCCAAATTCAGTTCTAAGCAAGACCATACATCCCGCTGCTAAGGGACTTTAGAGTGTGATAAATAGGAAATTGTTCACAGATCCTGAGGTTAATGGCTATGAGGCAGGACTCCAACCACAACTTTATTAGCCAGGCAACAATTTCATTAAGTAGACAAGTAACTCACAAGGGGACTATGAACAAGCTGATGTTGTGTTTTAAAGGTCAAAAACTGATTTCCTGTAGATTTAACTAAGGCAAGAATAAGGTGTGATTTTAAATCAGAAGCTTTATTTGTAGTTAGAGCAGACTTCCCCACCAAAACATGCAGAACTGTTGCACCTGATTGTCTGCCAAATTCTTATGATTGGTCCTCTCTGCTCTTCTCCCCACCTGATGCAATGTGGATATGCTCTGTGGAGAGGAAATATTTGGTACTTAAAGCAGGACTCTGGGAATCATTTAGCCATCAGCAACTAAGTCCTTATGTCTCACTGGGATTCCAATTTTTCTCTTATTACTCAGGCTCAGCGAGTTAACTCCAAACTGAGTGCTTCCAGGAAACAAAGAAGAAAGAGAGAAAAGGAAGCCTTTACTCAAAACTGATTTCTAGAACAAGGTAGTGCTCCTAGATGAAATGAAAATTTCAGCTTTTATCCTCTGTCATTTAAACTGGACTAGACGTAAAATTACCTCAGTAGGTCATTTCTCTAAATAAAAATCCCAACTTCTACAAATGATATTATACAAAGTGACAAGCTAGTCTAAACATTTCATAGGGGCTCCCCATTTGTCAGGAGTTGGGCTAAGTACTTGACTGGTGTTGTCCCATTTAATACTCATGACAAATCTAAGGGCGAGTGGGGCAGGAGGGGGTTTGTTGTCTTCTGTCTGGTACAGATAAGTTAGCCAGAAATCAGAGAGGTTAAGCAGTTTGCCTAACATCAGACAGCTGGTAAGTGGTAAAGCCAGGATGTAAACCTTGTGACTGTCTTTTCTGTTCTCCGCTGCTACTTGTGGTTCGAATTAGAATAGAAGCCACACAAGTTGAAGGAATGCTACACCCAATCCCAGCATTTAAAAAGAGCTGTATTGTATAAAGGTGAGAAGTACACTTTTTGGTTACACATCTGTTGGATGAACTACTGCAAGATACTCAATCTCTTCAAGCTCCAGTTTTCTCATCTGTTAAATGGGGATCATCATTACTACCTCACAGGTTTCTTGTGTAGGTTAAGGGAGAAAACATTTCCAAGGTGTCTTTCATAAGCATCCCTTTCCATTTTATTCTGAGACCAATGCCTTATGTCTTGGACCTAGGCAAGATGCTGGTTCCATAACATGATAATTGTTCTTCAAAGCATGGATAATTATACGTTACATATTATAACATATTATGTATATATTTTTTCCTTGATGGAAAATTTTCAATTTTAAAATTCAAAAGACCTTGTGAAAGATCTCCTGGTGTGTCTCAATAATAGTCTTTCTCATCTCTGTAATACAGTGTTTGACATACTGGGTTCCATGGGAATCGTAACCACATGGCCTGAAAGAAAAAAGTTCCTTCTTGAAGTAAGTTTGAGAAATATAGCAGACTTGTTTTCCTTGTTCCTTTCCTTGTTATTTTCTTATTCATTGAAGACTCTCATACATGTTAGCTCATTAAAGGCTCTGATAAGTCCTGCAATGTAGAAGCCTATATGTGTCTTTGACTATAAAACACTAATTTTCACACTTCTTTGAGCAAAATTTTATACACAGGTTTCAGTTTGGAAACTGGCACAAAGCCTTAAAGGTTTTTATTTTATTTAATATTAATTAATTAACTTCTCATGACAACCCTGCCAGGAAAACCGGGCAGGCATTGCCCTGGAATGAAGAGCCCAAAGGGTATCCGTGAAGGTAAAGAATTAGTGGACAGCATTGCAGCCATTCATTTAAGAAGCTAGGGCTGGAAGAAAACTACCTAAAATTATTTTTTGAATTACTTTTTAACATAACCCATTAACTTTTTAATTATTTAATTCCAAGAATTTTAGGCACTAGAGCAGTTTGCTGCGGACATTTGGGGCAGTGGAGCCTTTGGGTAAAAGGCAAATGTGGTTCTTTCTCCAAGATACAGCTCTGACCCTTTCATTTATTTCCATTTTTGCTGCTACCACACTCAACCAAACCTCCCAGGCTTCCACAGCAGTCTCCCAATTAGTTTCCTGTTTCTCATCTAATTCCATTGAATACCATTTCTCCACCCAGTAATCAAATTACTCTCCACAGCACAGCACTGTGCTCCCTTTCTTACAACCTTCTAAAAGCTTCTCTTTTCTTAGAATAAAATGCCAAGTTTGTGCCACTGCCTACAAAGCCCTTTCTGTCTGGTTCTTTTCCACTTCTCCAACTTTTTTCTCATCTTACGTTCCCCTCCTGCTACATTCCAGTTACATTTCCCTTCCTCGAGAACATCAGACTATTTTCTGCCTCAGGACCTTTGCACCTCTGGATCCATCTGCCTGAAAGCCTCCCTTCTCACCAGCAGTTTGTAGGAATGGCTCCTTCCCATCCTGGACACCTTTGCTCAAATATTACCTTTCCGTTAGCTACCTCCCTGTCCTCCCTGGCTAGAGTCTTCTTATCCTTTTCTAGCTCATTGCACTGTCTCTTTCCTTGTTATTTTCTTGTTCATTCATTGGTGGGTGTGTCTGTGGTCTGCCTCCCCAGTGTCAAAGACAAGCTCCACGAAAACAGGGAGCTTTTTCGACTTCACCATTTCATCCTTAGTAACTGGATAATGCATGGCATATAGTGGGCTCTTATTAAATATTTTAGGAAATAAGCACATAAGGAATGAGTGAATTGGTGAGTTATGTTGTCCCAGAGAGATTGCCTGCACCATATATAACTAGTCATGCATGTGACCTTTGAAACCATAGCTAGTAATGGCTATTTTTTGCACTTATCAGTGACTCTATTATAATTCCTCTCAGATCCCATATTTTCCCATGATCTGGGTAACGTGTAATACCCTCTTGCCATAATCATCTCTGAACACACAGACACACGCACACGCACGCACACACACACATAAGAGGAGAGCTGGTCTCTAAGGTGCTGTCAGAGCTGTTTAGGCTGGCCAATTAGTTGGCTTTTGTTCTCCCCAGAGGGAAGAAGAGCACCGTTTAATTACCTTCAAGTATTACCCTTCCTGCATCCTTATTTTTATTTTTAGACTCCCCACTGCCATGCTTCAGCTCTTCTTCAAACTGCTACTGTCCTTATTAGTGCTGCTCCCAAGTAGATTAAGCAAACTTTTTAGCTGTTGCTGTGAGCTCTTACATCCACAAAGAATAAGCCCAGACCTTAGCTACTGAGCAGGCAGAGGCAGATGCTCTGTGAGCCCTGCTGCAGAGGGGCTGGGCTGCATACAGCCATCAGCGTTCAAGGCTCATGCCTTACAATCACTGTAGTATCCTGGCTGGAGTTCAGCTTTTAGAGCCCAAGAGCCTCGCTGGGAATCCTGGCTCTGCCATTTAGCAGACGTAGAATGGGGTATATTGCTTAGTTTCTGTGTCTCAGCTTTTTTACCTGTGAAATAGGAATGATCATAGAAACTCCCTATTTTTTAACCTTTTTTTTTTATTATTATGCTTTAAGTTCTGGGATACATGTACATGCAGGTTTGTTACATAGGTATACACGTGCCATGGTGGTTTGCTGCACTCATCAACCCGTCATCTACATTAGGTATTTCTCCTAATGCTATCCCTCCTCTAGCCCCTCATCCCCCGGACAGGCCCAAGTGTGTGATGTTCCTCTCTCTGTGTCCATGTGTTCTCATTGTTCACCTTCCACTTATGAGTGAGAACAAGTGGTGTTTGGTTTTCTGTTTCTGTGTTAGTTTGCTGAGAATGATGGTTTCCAGCTTCATCCATGTCCCTGCAAAGGACATGAACTCATCCTTTTTATGGCTGCATAGTATTCCGTGGTGTATATGTACCACATTTTCTTTATCCAGTATATCATTGACGGACATTTGGGTTGGTTCCAAGTCTTTGCTATTGTGAACAGTGCTGCAATAAACATATGTGTGCATGTGTCTTTATAGTAGAATGATTTCTAATCCTTTGAGTATACCCAGTAATGGGATTGCTGGGTCAAATGGTATTTCTGGTTCTAGATCCTTGAGGAATCACCACACTGTCTTCCACAATGGTTGAACTAATTTACACTCCCACCAACAGAGTAAAGTGTTCCTATTTCTCCACATCCTCTCCAGCATCTGTTGTTTCCTATTTCTTAATGATCACCATTCTAACTGGCGTGAGATGGTATCTCACTGTGGTTTTGATTTACATTTCTCTTATGACCAGTGATGATGAGCTTTTTTTCATATATTTGTTGGTGGCATAAATGTCTTCTTTTGAGAAGTGTCTGTTCATATTCTTTGCCCACTTTTTGATGGGGTCATTTGTTTTTTTCTTGTAAATTTGTTTAAGTTCTTTGTAGATTCTGGATATTAGCCCTTTTTCTGATGGATAGATTAGAAAACTTTTCTCCCATTCTGTAGGTCACCTGTTCATGCTGATGATAATTTATTTTGCTGTGCAAAGCTCTTTAGTTTAATTAGATCCCATTTGTCAATTTTGGCTTTTGTTGCCATTGCTTTTGGTGTTTTAGTCTTTGCTCATGCCTATGTCCTGAATGGTATTGCCTAGGTTTTCTGCTAGGGTTTTTATAGTTTTAGGTCTCATGTGTAAGCCTTTAATCCATCTTGAGTTAATTTTTGTACAAGGTGTAAGGAAGGGGTCCAGTTTCAGTTTTCTGCATATGGCTAGCCACTTTTCCCAACACCATTTATGAAACAGGGAATCCTTCCTCCTTGCTTGTTTTTGTCAGGTTTGTCAAAGATCAGATGGTTGCAGATGTATGTTGTTAGTTCTGAGGCCTCTGTTCTGTTCCATTGGTCTATATATCTCTTTTGGTACCGGTACCATGCTGTTTTGGTTACTGTAACCTTACAGTATAGTTTGAAGTCAGGTAGCATGATGCTTCCAGCTTTGTTCTTTTTGCTTACAATTATCTTGGCTATATGGGCTCTTTTTTGGTTCCATATGAAATTTAAAGTAGTTTTTTCTAGTTCTGTGAAGAAAGTCAATGGTAGCTTGATGAGGATAGCATTGAATCTGTACATTACTTTGGGCAGTATGGCCATTTTCACAATATTTATTCTTCTGATCCATGAACATGGAATGTTTTTCCATTTGTTTGTGTCCTGTCTTATTTCCTCAAGCAGTGGTTTGTAGTTCTCCTTGAAGAGGTCCTTCACATCCCTTGTAAGTTGGATTCCTAGGTATTTTATTCTCTTTTTAGCAATTGTGAATGGGAGTTCACTCATGATTTGGCTCTCTGTTTGCCTCTTATTGGTGTATAGGAATGCTTTTGGTTTTTGCACATTGATTTTGTATCCAAACCCCAAAGGCAAACAACCAAGCTGCCCTCACTAACAAAAGCTTACTAGATATTAGGGAGCATGGCAGTCCATGGATGCCAAAGTGGCAGAGGACACAGTCTTTGCCCTCAAAAACCTTAGAAACTTGCTGAGGGGACATAATATCCATATGAGAAAAGGGTAGTTCTAAATAAAGATACAATTAATTGGACAGAGAGTTAAAGAAAGAGGGACTCACAAAAGATGAAGATATTTCTGAGGTCATAATGGTCAGGACTGGACCCTTGAAAAGTGTGGGAGTTGGACTGGACCTCAGAGTAGAGATAGGATTCAGCTGAAATGACAAGTGTGATGACAACTGGAAAAAAAAAAAAAAAACAATGAGAAAAAAAAAACAATGATTGATTCATTGGAGTCGTTGGCTAGAGAGGAAAGCCTTCTAGAATGGCCTGTGCAAAAGGGAAGAGTGAATATGCAAAGTGGGCACAAGAGTGGAAGGGAGATTGGAGATTTGATAGTGAATGGATTCAATGTTCTGAAGGTGAACAAGGACACAGTGAGTTCTGAAAGGAAAAGAGGTTAAATCAGGAGACCAACGCTCAAGTCACATTCAAATTCTTAATAGGATAAGTTTCTCAAAGTACTGAGTGCGTGTGTGTGTGTGTGTATACATATTATATATATACACGTACATATGGTTGTTTCTTTGCCAACTGTAATTATTTAAAGATCCGTATAGCTCCTTTGTTAGCCACTGACATTTAGACAAACAAATTTAATTTTGGGTTCTTGTTTTCTTCAGGTTGAGGAACAGCTGGTTCTTACTGTCAGTCAGTGTCAGTGGCCTGCTGGAATCTGTCCAGGATACATTTTCTTATAGTTAGAATATTTAAGTTGGGTTTAGCTTTAAAAAAAGCTGACATCCAGAAAGTTAGACTTTGCTCAGTGCTTCTTCTAAAATGGCCACTGTGTCAAGTAAACAAATACCTATCGACTCCATGCTATTTGTCTGGAAAAATTCTAGATGCTGGGGAGATATTAAAAGGAAATATAAGAGATAGGGTCTCTAGCCTCCAGGAGGTTACTGTCATTGGGAAGGTAAGGACATGAATCAGTTCCCTTTTCTTTCTTATTCAAACAATATGTAAGTTTCTGTTGAAACTAGTTTTGGCTTCATTTAAAAGAAACCCCAAATAATAGTGGCTTAAATAAGATAGAAGTTAATTTTTCTTTTACGTAACATGATGCTTGAACTTCAAGCACTGTCTTTAGGCATGCAAAATTTCTTAGTATGTGATTTCTATCTTCTGGCTTGCTTTGTGATTATGACTTATTGCTCATTTTTCAGCCATTAGTGGCTAGGGAGGTGGTGTTCCAGATTGGAAGAACAAGGCAGGGGGAGAAGCAAAAAGGTCTCATTTCAGCCAAGTAAGACTCTTTTAAAAAGCTTTGCTGAATTACTTACATTCCACTGGCCACACATATCTGTCAGAGAGCCTGGAAAATGCAGTTTTTTAACTGGGCACATTGCCACCTGTTAGTAAAGAGGAAGGGAAAATCGATTTCAGGTAGTCATCAAACAACATCTACTGTAATACATCTCCAGGTAGCTAGCTCTGGCCAAACAAAGCCTATAATTTCTTCTTTGACATTGTCCCAGGACTCAGTGGTAGGGCAGGCACATGCTTTGCATATCTGAGATCCTGCATGTGAATTTGGGAATTTCCTGATTTCCAGGCAGCATGGAAAAAGAAGCACACACTCTAGAGTCTACAAGACCCAGGTTCAAACCCCCAGGTTGGCTCTAGCACAATAGAATTAACTTGGCAAGTTGCATAGCAGCTCCAAGCCTCTATTTTCTTGCTTGTAAACCACCATCTCATAGGGTTGCTTTGAGGATTAACGAAAATACCTAGCCTTGTGCTTGTAATACAATAGATGCTTAAGAAATATCAGCGGTATTTTTTGTATGCTCAAAGTTGGAAGTTGATCCTTTAAGGATTAAACCATTTTGGCTTTCCGAATAGCAGTTTATTTAAACAGCTGTTACTGAATGACAATAGCCATTTTTTCATTTGTTTTAATTTATCAAAATTTCCCTTTTTCTTTTACATTTAAACAATGGTAGATATGATGCCAGATGTATGTTTCACACATATTTGGGGGGAGGTGAATCTTATGTGCATATAAATGTATTTCTTTTCATTAAAACCGGGGAAATTTTGCTGAAGTCTAATGAACAAGCCTAAATTTACTTACATATGCTTAAGTAGTTCTCAGCCAGCAGAGAAAAACAGATTGAATTTCAGAAAGATTGACTTGCACATATTCTTCTGATTTTGACTCATAGCTCATTTCAAGTATGAGGGCAAATAGAATAGTTTTCTTTTTATCAGTCAATTACCAGTCAAAATTCTTCTGATTTTGACTGATAGCCTAGTTTCAAGAATGAGGGCAAACTAAGGCAACACATGATAGACCTATATTTCCTTCACACTGGCAGAGGTCAGGAGTCAGAATTCTATAAGTTTAAACCAATATAAGCAACCCGAAAACAGAAATGCTATATAGGAGGAGAAAAGGCTTTCAACAAAGCATTGTCATTAGGGTTCGGTTAAATATGCATGCATTTGAAATATACATTGACTTAAATGCAAATAGTCAGGCTGAAGCTCTGCTGTAAAGTAAAGGTACACCCACAAAAGGACAGAGCCTTTTCTGGAGACCAGCAGAAATGTGGTTGTATTTATATTAGTGGGGACAGAAATTATGATCGCTCTGGGGCCGCTGCAGCCTTTCTGCTGACAAGTTGCATGCCACTGTTCCGTAGTGACTGTTCTTTACCTGGAACGGCTTCTCCATGGCAACCCCAACCCCTTCACAGGGCGCATTCGTTGCTTCTCTCTTTTTAAAATGAACACATTGGGAAGGAAGTGGAATATGTGTGTTTGAGTTCCTAAATGGAAAAAGGGAGGGAGTAACAGACACCAGGGAAAGCGCAGAGGATTTTTTTTTCCTTTTGCTTAATTTGCATCCTACTTCCATGGATATGGGTCAAAAAGAAATGATTAAAATTCACTTTGTGCATTGGATTCTCTCTTCCATCAGTGTACATCTTGGAGAGACATGGTTTGGATCAATTAATCTGTATTGCAGTTGATACCAAGTTTTAGCCCAGTGGTTTGCTGCAATTTCAAAGGATACTTCAGTGTTCTTTTTACCTATTCATTAAGGACTGTCAGCAGCCACTCAGACCCAAAGGATTTGGCTGAGGGAAAAATCTCAGAATAATTTTTCAAGAATATAAGTTTTTAAAAGAGAAGACTGAAAGCACCAGAATGATTTTTCTATTATGTCTGAGGAATATTGTTTTCTAAACTCTTTGCTCAAGATCCAGAAATAGGAGTACTTTATGGGAAAAATCTCTCTCCTGTTGTCATGGAATAAGTTAAGAGACTCCTCTAAACAGAAAAACAAAGCAAAACAAAAAAACCTCAAGCATTCAGTCACTTCAAACTATTTCATATAGATGTCCTGCTTTTTTTTTTTCTTTTAGTTCCCAAAGGTTCTATTTTTTGTTGTTCTTTCAATTTTATAATTAAATGAAAGAGCAAGCCTTGACAAGTGTTGACCTCCCTTCAATGTTTTGGCTTTCTTAAATAATTTATCCCATTGGATTATATTCAGAAAATGAGAGTTTGACTTTAAGCTGAGAAAGTATGTTCTAAATTGCAGCATACCTGTGAGTAACAGCAGCAGTAAGAAGTGGGACCGTGCAATACTGCATGATAGAAAGTTCTAGAAACTTGATAGGTTCCTGGAGTACAGAAAACACAAATGAAACTAAGACTAGTAAATGTATAGATGCAGAGGTTTTCCCACTCTGAAATCTTACCTCTAGGTTTGAGTGAAGTAGAAACAGATAAAAGGAAAGATTCCTATCACACAAGTCATTGCCTTCATATGGACGTCCTTTGAACCTGTGGTTGTGTTGGTCAGCTGTGGCCAGAAAGTGAACCATAAACAGTAAATCACAAGAGGCCTGTAAGGAAAGGCCCAGATAGGTCATCTTCACGTCTGGCTGGCACTTAAACTTGGCCTTTTCCCATAAAAACTGTTGAGAGAAAAATAGCAATGTTATGCTAGTAGCCCTAAAGCACGAAAGATGTCCAAATCCATGCCTTGCTACTCCACAGTTACCTTTATGAAAAGTATTTTCTTATAGCCAAATATCCCAATTCTTTGTTACCACACATGACTAATCTTCGCTACTATTTAAAAAAAAAAAAAAGTGGATTCAATGAGTAGATATTTACTTCCCGAAAATTAGGGCAAAGAATTTGAAAATGCCTAATGGAATATATTTGTATATACCTAAGGTGAGAAAGCAGCCCATTAGGTCTCTTCCTACTTAACAATCATCGAGAGTTTCATAGTAGAGACATTTGCTGCTCAGTGAATATCCATGTTTTCCCCCATATTCTTCAGCCTCTCTGGAGTTGAGCAGAGCCATGTGACAAGAAGTGGCCAAGAGTAGAACTGATGTGCTATTTGTAGGCTGAAGCATTTAAGAGCTAGTGCAAGATCCCTTCAGATTTTAGGTGCCTCACCACGAGAAACATGTTGACATGGTGTAGCAACAAGGCAAAAGTCACCAGGAGCACTGCAATGAATACAGAGCTCTAGGAAAGTAACATATTGTACATCAGGTTTTGTGGCTTATGTTTAGTCAAAGATTCTGGGATTGTCTGTTACCACAGCACAGCTTCTTCTATCCTAATAAACACGAAATGTTTGTTATCAAGGCTGAATTTCTTTAGCCATTTTGTTTAGTTTATGTAAAAGGTGGTGGAGCAATTTTTAAAACTGTGAGCTTTGGAATTAAGCAGAGATGGATTAGAATCCTAACTCCACCACTTATGAGCTGATGGAACATGAGACAAGTTATTTACTATCTTGGCCTCTGTTTCCTCATGTATAAGATGGAAACTCCGTCTACATGAGCAGTTTATATAAAATAACTAGTATAAAGCACTTAGCACAGAACTGAGCACATGGTGTGTATTCAGTAATACTGGAAGTTGCCCTTGCTGTTTGCTACTCTTGATAGTTGGTTTTCATAACAGTGAGGTTGCCTTTAGTAAGGGACTAAATCATTACAAGTCTTTTCAGGGTAGAGTTAGGATATGTTTGACATTACTGGAAGTTGCCAGGAGTAGTGAAACTGAGGCTCTATGGGCCTCTGTCAAAGGGAGAAACTAAGAATGAACCAGCATATCGACAGTTCCTCTGCTTTGTTAATTACTGCCCTTGAGTGTGACCATGTAGAAACAGGCAGATTGTTTTTGTCCTATATTTTAGATGTGCATTGATGTGCCTTTGGAATTCTGGAAACACCAACATACTCTAATTAAGAAAATTCCATTAGGAAATGAATTTCTACTGCATTGTTATATCCATCATTATATACATAATATTTATTTATGTTATCTCTTGCAAACATTGACATACCGAATATCAGGTCAATTAACTTTAGAAAGTAATTGTGTATTTAAATAGCAGTAAGAGGAGAAATACACACCACTGGAAGTTAGAGTTGGGAATAGGTTCCGTAGAGTGAACACTGTTTCAATAATATGTAGGAATGAATAATTCCCCACCTAACACCAATGTAATAATGTACTGTAAGCATTGCTTTTCTCTGTATAATTTCCCAAGAATTCAATGGAAAACAAGTAACATTATGGGGAAATATTGATTCACTTTGGGCACAGTGGGTCTTGTTATAATAAAGACAGAGTCTGTGGCCATTTCTTTCCTTATTCTCTTCTTTAAAAAAAGAAGTAAATATATGGAATTGCTAATTATAATTGGGACACTTAGATTGCTTCCTTTTATAGAATGAACTAGGAGATTTCTTGGGCCTCAGCAATTTTTTCGTGACTTGAATACCCTAAGGGCATGAAAAAGTTAAGATCATGTAATTATGCCAGCTTTAGTTTTTGCATTTTGATTAAGCCTTGAGTTTGTTACAGGAATCCCAAGCAATCAATAACAAGCCTCATCTTACTTATCTGAACTCATCTCCTGCTCTATTTCAACCCATGTCAATGTGGGAAACTGAGAATACAGTGGTTAAGAGTACAAGTTGTTTATTATTGGCTGGCTCTATGGCTTACTAGCTGTATGTGATATTGGGTAATGTCAAAGAACCTGTTTTGTTATCGACAAAATGGAGATAATAATAGTACCTCATGGAGTGGTTGTTAAGACTAAATGAAATACTGGAGTGAGACTCTAAATATGTCAATAAATAGTAGATGTCACCCAAGTTGGCTTTCCTGTGGTTCGTTGTGCTCAGTTTCACTCTTGCATCTCAAACTGCAGTGAAGAATACATAGTGGGTTAATTGAGGTGGCCTCAGTTAATATGAGGTTTTAGCCTGTCATATCATCTATTCACAGCCTATGTGGGAGGCTAATTTGGTGACAACAGCACTTGAGGTTGGTTATCAAAGTTGATTCAGAAAATACAGCAGGCTTTGGGGCCGATGCCTTTCTTCACTTACTGCATATAAAGGTGATCTGCTCCCAAAACTCCGAAGGAAGGAGCTTGGGCATTTTTCAGAGGTGGCTGAGTATGATGCTCTCTTACTAGAATCTGAAAACAAACCTCCTCTTCTGGAAAGATTAAGCTACTGCATTTTCCAATGAGGAATCATACGTTTTCCTCCTCAGTCATCTTGGATGATATCCTCTACATTTGGACTATACATTTCTAAAAGAGGAAGTGCATGTATTACCAACTCTTCTCCCACTGCAAACATTTTTTGAGTGCCTACCCTGCATGAGTCCTGGGCTGAACACTTTCCTGCCACTTACTTGACTTCCAACTTTGATCAAGTTCCTAAACTTCTTGTGCCACCATCTGTAAAATGAAGGCAATGATGGCTACCTCATGGAGTTGGGTATGAGAATTCAGTGCATTAAAGCACATAAAGCACTAAGACTAGGACACATTGAAGGTACTCAGTGGCAATAGTCAGTATTAAACTTATCTCTAATTTATAGAAGAGCAAATGGTCTCATGGGAGTTGAATAATTTGCCCAGGGCTTTAGAGCCCACTATACCTACCTTCAAAATCTTGGCATTTAGCCCCTTTACTGCCCTGCTGCTTCCTATCATTCACTCTATACAACTAGGAATCCCAGGTGCTCTGCTGTCTTTAAAACCATGTATAATTTGTTAAAGTGACTTCAATGAGCTTAAAAAGAAACATACCAAACCTGAGTTAGAGAATGACATGGCAGAAATTTTCTAGAATGAATACAAATTTCTGCTTGCCTATGAGGTTGTCAGACTGAATTTATACTTAAAGTACTGTACCTAAGCTAGTCTCCCCTTCTGGCATTAATAACCTCAGCTCTTTGGAGTCTAAGAATAACCAAACGGGTGCCACGGGTCAATGGTGGGCAGCAGCTTGTGAGAATCTACTTTTCTCATGTAGCCAAACTGCTGCACAAGAAATAAGCAACATTTATGTGGCCCCTATGTCTAAGGTGGACACTTCTTTAATGAGATGTATATACCTCACAAGAATCTCCTTTCAGCCCAGCTATACATAATATACTCACAGTTCCAGGCCTTGTTCACCTCAATTCCATAATCATCCTCATTATATGACAGGAGAGAAAGAAGTAGACAAACCCTTTATTAAGAGAGAGAACTCAGGTCGTCAGCAAGTGCAGTGGATGCTTCTGTTTTTGTCTAACTGACTTCTGTCTCTCCTTTTATTGATAACTCCTCTGCCCTTACAATCTACCCAGTTCTGGTGGGATGCCCACTGCCCAACTAGACACATGACCTAGGCCTGATCAAATCAGACTAAATCCTAATACCTATACCAGAGTTATTGAGAAAGATAAGTTTTGGTCTGCTGGCCTTGACAGTGAAAGGATGTAGGCTTGGAGCTCCTCAGGGCCACTGCTTCAGGGAACCTTGCTGACAGTGAAGCCAACACAGAAGAAAGCAAGGCCAAACATTGAAAGAGATAGAGTCCTGATTCTTCCTTTTGAACAATTGGATACCACCTGGCTTGAAGCTTTCCACTGCGCTTCTCATCTCTGATAAGGGTTGACAGGTGTCTTCCTATTTATTCCTTAAGGCAGCTTTGGTTAACTTCAGTCATCTGCCACTGAAAAGAACCAGTTCAGCAAATTTTATCCCCATTCTAAGATGTTCTCCCTCCCAGGTCACTTTTAGTTTCTTGTGAGCACTTGGCATGTTGTGAATCTCCATCAGTAATCTCTGAAGAATCTGAAGTTACCAAACTCCTTGACTTTTGGCTTCTGCCCTTTTACCTCTAGCTTAGCGGAGTTACCTAGATCCCACATGGCATATTGGGGAAAGATAAAAAAGAAGAGAGATTATCTCCAGGGTAGTTTTGTTCCATACATGAGGAAATGCTAATAACTAATGAAAAAAATTGCTTTGTTTCTCATTCAAGCTTCTCTAAATATCCAAAGGAAAATGTTAATATAAATCTCTATTGCATATGGGAAAAGTGAAACTTGGAGAAGTTAAAGTGCCCAAGATCACACAGTTAGTAGCTGGTATAACTAGGATTCAAAACCATGCGTCTTATTTGCATGTGATGGAAAGGCAAGCTGGGAACCTGTAACCTTCTGCATTAAAGGACGCCTTTCATCCAAACCCCCTGTGCTTTAGTGTGGCGCCCAGAGCTCCTCCTTCAATTCTGTTTCCATGGTGCACTGTGCATGTGCAGTCCTTGAACGTTCTTGCATTTGCTGGGGGTGGGAAGCCTTTCTCCAGGTCTCAGCTTCAGATGCTGCCCACCCAGCCATCTGTGGCAACAGATTTGTGTGTTATCAATTAAAGTCTAAAGGAAGTTGGCAAAACCTCCTACTCTAACAGGGTGGGCTAAAGAAGTTCCTGTTAAAACAGAAATGGATTGTGTCTATGATAGTGGTAGTTGGTAGCTTTCCAAGAGCACTTTAAATACACCCCATGCCTTGAATTGCTCAGCTCTGAATCTCTTTAAGATATTCCTCTCAGAGGCAGCTCATTTCCATGGAGCAGACCGGTGCATAATTAAACAGGGTTGCCCTTCTGGAAAGCAAAGCAACATTCACAATTTGGAGAATCTGCTCCTGTGATTTTCACTTTGTGACTCACGTGGGAAATCGTTATTTTTTTTTTTTAGTGTACAAAATCTTCATATATATAACATGTCGTGCCCCACTTACAGTCACAAAACCTTCTTGGTTTCGATTGCTCTGGAAGACTCTTTAAGATGCCTCACCTAGGGAACTCCAAAATATCAAGTACACAAAATGGCCTTTAAGTTCAAGACAGAAAATCTCAAGTACATATTCCTTATTTAGTGAAAATCCATCTTGCTATTTTTACATAACTAGATGACTTAAAGTTTTAGATAGAGAAATATAAAACATTTTAAATACCTACTATGTGCTATTCCCTGTGGTAGGTCCTGGAAGAATAGAGATTAACCATATATAGTTTCTACCCTCATGGCACTTACTGTCTAATAGCTAAATAGGGATTTATGACAGTCTGGCCACACATACAAAAAATGGGTACTACATTGGCTTATGAAGAATTATGATTCTGAATCATAAGAAATTTAGTCCCATTACAGGATAGGCCCTTGTATTCTTAAACATCACATTATCCATCCTTCTACTAACACTCTGACAGCAATATACAAAGCACAATGGTCTCCCTTTCTCTCTTTTGTAAAATTTATCAACTTCAGCATATTTACTTTGGGGCCAGATAATTCCTTGTCGTGGGGACTGTTGTGTCCATTGTAGGGTTCTTAGCATCATACTTGGCCTCAACCTACCAGATGCCAGTTATGACATCCCCAGTTATGACAACCAGAAGAGTCTTCGGACATGGCCAAGTGTTCCTTGGGTGGGGAAGAGAGTGGGAAAAATCACCCCTGGTTGAGAGCCACTGAGCCAAACCAAGAGTAACAGTAGTTGTTTTACAGCTTCCCTAAAACAGAATGAATCTTGTTTTAAATTAATAGAGAAAGATGGGTCATTCCTGGAGACAAAGGAATGCACTAAATGACCTCCTAAGATCCCTGCCAATCCTAGAATTCCAGGGTACTTTTACCCATAACCTAGTTTGGTTCCTCTGTGTCCCTGTCCCCGTGGACCCTCATGACTGTGCCTGACAGGCAGCTGCATATCCAACATGCTCTTTATGTCAGCAGGAACCCTGGAGGAGTCTTTTTTTTTTTTCTTTTTTTAAGTTCTTTTTGTTTTTGAGAAAACTTGGCAGAAACATTCTTTTTGAAAGAGGAAAAAAAGAAAACCCTAAAAACAAATTTAAGGGCCGTGGGAAAATAACTTTCTGTGCTCCTAGGTACCAGGACCGACCATTTGTTAGTATCGAGCATCTGCTAAAGTGTGAAAAATTCTTGGAAGGCATTTTCTAAATTTTGTTATTGTTGTTTTATCCATTTATTTCTATGAGCCCTTTCCTTTGCTGTATGTTGCCTGTCCATGTTGGGCTGGCCAACTGAGGTATGCACTGTCCTTTATTTTGAAGAACATACTATTTATCTGATGGTTGGGAAGGTGGCCGTACTGAAGTATAAGGAGCCCAGCATTTGAATGTTTTAAGACCTGACTTTTAATCTTATGACCATCACTTCCTGACTTTGAGATCTCAGGACTTCTGTGCTTTAATTCGTACTTAAAAACGTGGATGGTAAAACTCTCCACTGAACAGCTGTGGGGACAAAACAAGATGGTAGCTATTTGTAGATTTCAAAATTGCTATGAAAATTATTTGTTAATATGATTGGACATTGTAATCATGTAGCAAATGTTTGTTTCCCCATTGGCTACTTATGTAGGGTTTATTTAAAATTAGGCAAAACTAAGAATATGTTTCCTGGCCACACCTTTTATATCAATCTCTCTTCAAATGTGATCCCTGGACTCTTCTTTAATTTCCCACTTCAGTAGTCCGTCTTACAATTTTTTTAACCTAGTTTTTCTGTAGTAAAAGTGCAGTTTTCAGAGTTCAACTTAGGGTCAAATCCCAGCTTCTGCTTCTTTTAACTCCATGCTCTTTGACTTTTAACCTGAGCACAATGTCTTTTACATTTACATTCCATTTCCTCATCAAAAAATTGGAGATAATAATAGGTCATATCTTAGAGAGTTGTTGTGATGATAATATAAAATAATGACTATAAAGTGGCATCAAGATGCCTAGGCCCGGAGACCGGCCGTGAAGATGCCAGTGGCGGTGATGGCAGAAAGCGCCTTTAGTTTCAAAAAGTTGCTGGATCAGTGCGAGAACCAGGAGCTCGAGGCCCCTGGAGGAATTGCTACACCCCCAGTGTATGGTCAGCGTCTAGCTTTATGTTTGCTCCGTAATGACATGAATAATGCAAGATATCTTTGGAAAAGAATACCACCTGCTACAAAATCTGCAAATTCTGAACTTGGGGGAATTTGGTCAGTAGGACGAAGAGTCTGGCAGAGAGATTTCCCTGGGATCTATACAACCATCAACGCTCATCAGTGGTCTGAGACAGTCCAGCCAATTATGGAAGCACTTAGAGATGCAACAAGGAGACGCACCTTTGCCCTGGTCTCTCAAGCATATACTTCAATCATCACTGATGATTTTGCAGCCTTTGTTGGACTTCCTATAGAAGAGGCTGTGAAAGGCTTATTAGAACAAGGATGGCAAGTTGATTCCACCACAAGAATGGTTCTGCCCAGAAAGCCAGTTGCAGGGGCCCTGGATGTTTCCTTTAACAAGTTTATTCCCTTATCAGAGCCTGCTCCACTTCCCCCAATACCCAATGAACAGCAGTTAGCCAGACTGACGGATTATGTGGCTTTCCTTGAAGACTGACTTATCACTCTGAGTTCAAGATTCATCTTCAGAATCCTGTATACTGACAAATATAGAAATGTAAAGTTTGTATTTTCAATTTATTGGATGGCTTAAGCACCTCAGCATTCCTTACTATGTGATAAAATACATATAGAATAAAAAGAAAAAAGATGCCTAGGCCCTATGAAGTACACAAAAAGTATTAACTTGTACTGATAAACTTGAATTCATAAAGCTCCTGGACAAAATTGACGTAAAAAGCCTTCATCTTTCAAAGGGTATAGCCTCCATTTTGAAACAATTTCTTTGGTTTACACAACCCGGGGGACATGGTCCACCTCATGTTCTCTATCACTGCCCTCCCTGTCCCTCAAGCTTGTGCAACCACAACCCTGGATTTTATCAGTTTTTTCCATAGAATGTTAAAGATTTTCTACAGAAGGAACCTCTGTTGATACATTGGTAGAAGTTTCCTCAAAGTCAGAATGATGGAACTTTGGAAGAGCTTGAGAAAAACTGGGGTATTAGAGCACTGCTTCTTAAACTTTAACATGCGTATGACTGCCTTGGAATCCTGTCAAAATGCAGATTCTGGTTGAGTGGGTCTAAGATGGGGGACCCTGAGATTCTGCCATTCCTAACAAGCTCCCAGGGGTTCTGTTGAGGCTGGCGTAGGGACCACACTTTGTGTAGCAAGGTGTAGATGAGGAAGTTTGTCTTTATCTCATCTATCTTTAGATGCCGTCTTTCTCCTTAAGAGGTGCCTTTGACTCTTGATAAAGCTTAGATCCCACCAAAACTTTCCTCCTCCTCTCCCAGCGTTCAGAGGCTAGTGTGGAACAAGAATCTCAGGAGATGTTCAACACCCAAAGGACTGTGGAATAAAAATAAGTTTGCCAAACACCATGAACCATAGTTCCCCATCTTGGGGACCCACATAATGCATGGATGTATTAAAGGCTCTGAAAAGTCCTGCTATTTTTTAAAAAACATGTTTCTTATGGTTTACTCTAGAATTCCCCTTAAGTAATCTACAAATATCTTAAGACTAGATTAGAATCTCATGGGTGGAACCCAGATTTCAGTAGTTCTTTAACTCTTCCTGGGTGATCCCAATTTATAACTGAGGTTGAGAGGTCTGCCAGGGTAAGCATAGGAAATTCTAACAGAATACACTTGGGGAAAATCCTACAGCTAAAATAGCTCATCTAATAACATTGTTTATTAGATGCTAAAGGTGATAATTTCTGAAGTGGTAAGCCTACCTTTATACAATAGATTTCTTATTTGAAAAGACTTAAATGGCTTAAATCAGGCTGGAAATTTGGAGATGCTGGAGCTGATGGATTTAGTGGAAAGAGAGAACAAGGACTTTAAAATACCTCTTGTGTGTGTATATATATATGTGTGTGTGTGTGTGTGTGTATATATATATATATATATTCTATATATAATGATGTGTTGGCATCTTAAAAAGAAACAAAAACTTTCTAGCTGGGGAGAGACTGCCTGTCCTAGAGCTAATTGGTTCTTAGTGGACTCAGCCAGGAGCATACCCTTGTTATGGAAACTAAGTAATCCTGAGCCATACCTCCTTAACCTGGCCCATATACCCAGAAGGCAACATTCCTCTGCTTTAACCACTCCAGGGCCAGGTATCAGGCAACTAGGGACCACTCTTATAGTTTAGAGCCAGCCAAATTATCCAAAATAGTTGATCTTCAATAGTTTACCCGCCCCTGCCTCTCCCAAGAAAACTCCAAAAAAGGCTGCAAAATATCCCCCCCTCCCAACTTTCTGCTCCTGCCTCTGCCTCTTGTCCAGCCTAGTGTCTCTCCCATGTGGCCTCATGCAACGTGCCATGCCTTCGATCTCTAGGGCCACTTAATATGTTAAGCTCGCTTTCCTGAGCCTCTCCTGTCTCCTCTAGTGGCCCCACCTGATTGACCATCACATAAAAGAATATGAAACACTCCTCAAAACCACCCATGGCATTGAATGCATGTCTCTATCTGTGTCTACCACCGGCTCCAACCAGAGACAATTTTCTGAAACACTTGAAAGATTTGAGGGCAAAACATTTTTTTTGTAGCTCTATTGAACGTGAATTCCATCTCTGGCTCTTTCTTCCGCTTAATGATAGGCTTTGAGCAAAGACATTGAACTTCTCTAGATGTCCTGATCCTTGTGTATAAAACAGGGCTCACACCTGCCCTGCCTACCTTTCAGACTTATTGTAAGCATTAAATGTGGCAGAGAAAACACACTTGGTAAAATGATGTGCCAAACACATATAAAATATAACATTATTGTTGTGAGAGAAAAATGTTGCCTCAATTTCTGAGAAATAAATCAATTATTTGGTGCCTTTGATTATATGCTACAGAAATTTGAGAAAAAGCAGGACTCTGCTTCTGCCAATGTTCTTGTCTTTGACCTCTGCTCAGAGTCTCAGTGCTAATTGGTTCTGTGTAGAAGAGGCAGGAGAAACTTTGTTACCTAGTTTGTCTAATTAATAGCCACAGATCAATTTGCTTGTCATTTTTTCTCTCATAGATTACTTGTTGTTTTTTGACTAATGGGTCCTATCTGAAGATGGCTACATATTGTGCCACAAATTTGTCCTACCTCTGGTAAACATATGACCTTTTGAACTATTTGACGTAGCATAGCAGTCTGTATTTTGCAAGAAGCCTTATGTATTTAACCTCCTTCTCTCATATCATTTTGCATGAATGTATTCTGCCTGCAGAGGCCCTTATAAATGGGCAATAAGCTTTGACATGTGTTCAGATCAGTTTGGCTCAGAAAGTTTATTTTAAATTTACTATACATTTTCATTGTCTTGTCTTCCAAAATTCCAGTGATGGTAATTGTAACAGTTCACACCAGGCCCTTGATCTCATCTGTGCAATGACAGGTGTTTGAGAAAGTTCGTTCTGGGAATGTCAGAGAGACTTCAGAAAAGCGTTTGGCCTGTGTCTGTGTAGCTTCTCAGCGCTGTCTTTGTCACATTCCGTGCTGTGTTCAGCCTTCCTCCCAACTCCGGCAGCTTTCCAAAGCAGCCTCCTGATTCATCCTCATCAAGCAGCAGAGAAGCCCAGGTGCAGCTCTGCTCAGCCTTCTTTGGGGAGGCAGAGCTAAGGGTTATCCCCCCAAGGCACAGGACATCCCTTTATACAGGGATTTTTTATCAAGATTAAATTTATTCAAGTACAAGATGCTTTGTAAAAATCCAGTCCCCAATAATATCTACATCACTCTGAAATGGAATATAGAATACCAAAATGAATTTCTTTTTCAAAGAAGTGATAAGCTGCCTTGGATGTATACATAAAAGAAATTTTTAAATGATTAGCAATATTATTTTATTCTGCCTATTTTAGATACAACTGCTGCTATTATTATGTCTACTACTGACTGTAATACTGAGTGTACCTGGAAGTAAGTTAAGCTGTTTGCACACATTATCTCATTCCATCCTCCTGATGACCATATGTAGTAAGCAACGTTTTTTACCCCCAACTTATGGTTAAGAAAACTGAAGCTTGGAGATATTAATAGTTAAATTTTCCCTAAGTGCTTACTTGGGGTGAGCCATTACACTAGTCACTTTACCTGTATGAGGTCAATTAATCTTAATTAACTAAAGTAAATGTAGAAACTCTGTTAGTCACTAAGGCTATCCCATTTCACAGATAAATAAATTGAAATGAAGGCACAAGGTCTATCTTAGTCTATTTTGTGTTGCTATACAGGAATACCTGAGACTGGGTAATTTATAAAGAAAAAAAGCTTATTTGGCTCACAGTTCTGCAGAATGTACAAGAAGCATGGCACCAACATCTGCTTCTGATGAGGGTCTCAAGGAGCTTCCACTCATGGCTGAAGACAAAGGGGATCCAGTGTGTGGAGACAGAGATCCCATGGCAAGAGAGGAAGTAAGAGAGAGGGGTGTCAGGCTGTAGTTTACAGCCAGCTGTTGTGGGAATGAATAGAGCAAGAACTCATTCATTACAACAAGGATGGTACCAAGCCTGCCAGGAGGGATTTGTCCCCATGACCCAAACACCTCGGATTAGACTCCACCTCCAGCTTTGGGATAAAATTTCAACATGATATTTGGGAGGACAAACTTCAAAACTTTAGCAGAGTCTTAAGAAACTTACCTCAGGATTCTAGATTTAGGAAGCAATGTCAAAAGAAGACCTAGCACGTGTGTTTCTAAAGGTTGTGTGCAAACTCTTTCTTCTATTGACAAGGAAATAGAAGTTAGAGGCATAGGAGATGGAGCTGGGGGCTGGGTTGTCTGCAATACTTTCTTCCTTTATCTTAAGGTCCACCTCCACCTGAAAAGCTGTATTTATTTCATTTGAGATACTGCATAGGTAATGAAGCAAGGTCTCTTGTGCTGAGAGGCAAATACTGTAATCATCTGCATGACTTGATTCTTTATTTCAGTAATATGAAAATTGTCAAATTATGGATGAATTATGGATGCTACAGATACCTGTAATTTGCTGCTGCAGTTTTGTAAACACATGCAGCTGCCTTTAATTTTGTTTTACCAGTCATGTAATTCATTAACACACACCTGCAGTTTCCTAAGATACAAAGACGAATGAAGCTGGTTTGCAGTTCCCACTCTTTGTGTTTCCTACACTTCTCTGTTTAATCACCACACTCAGAGGTTGAGTAATTGGTTAAAAATAAATGCATCTCAAGGAGGAGCCTGGTGATTATCCTTGAAGAACATGCTCAAATTCCCACCTCAGCCATTGACTTAAATCATTGTTTTATCAGCCAAAGCCCAGGGCAGTTTGGAAATTAAGAAATTTGTAGAATTGATTTTCATTTTTTGCAACTGTTATGGCAACAAAGGCAAATCATTAAAAAATGGATTTTGGAGATAGCTGTTGGAGACTCCTTAACATGAGAGCCATGACTGGTACTAGTGGGTTCTTGCTGCTTCACCAAGAGGAGTGTTAACCAAGGCCTCATCTGAGAAATGAGGTGTTGCAAGATGGTACTGGCAGGAAGTACATGTTTTAACCCTTCATTTACTTCTTTCTTTCTTTCCCGCCTATTGAAATTGATGAGTTAGGTTATTTTTGATTGCTTCCTCTCCTCACTGTCATGCCTGTAAAAAATTTTAAAATGTTTCTTTTCAGAAAAAAAAATTCTCATTTTTGCCAGCTTTTAAAAAACAAGATCTTCAGTAAAACCATAATAAGAAATAACAGTAATAGCTACTTTTGTTGAGCATTAGCCCTATGGCTAGCACTTTATTAAGAGTGTTGCACAGTCAATTTGTTGAGTCCTCAACACAACCTAATAACATTGGCTTTATTTTCCTCAATTTATACACTAGAAACTAGAAACTAAAAAACTAAGTGACTTGCTGACATGGGGCCTCTATGACTTAAACTCAGGATGGCCATCCTGAGTTTATTCAAACTCAGGATGTTGTATTTCACATAACAATGCCACATAGACTTATACCTCACACAGCTATCCTCTTGATTCCCTCTACACCTTTCACCATTAACATTCTCCTTTGTATAGCCATAACTGTTACACAAGCTGCAACATATTTTGTAATACTATGCCAGTTCCATTGCTTTACTCACTTATGTATTTAAGCTATTGTTATTTAATGTACAAAAATGTTCAGTGTGAAGGCTAAAATTATATTGACAATGTCCTAAGTGGCTTTAGGCAAGATTATAAAGTAAGGCAGGCAGCTTTTCTTGATATTTTCCTGTCCTTTGTATACCAGAACATTTATTAGGCTAAATATCTTAGTTTGCTTTGTGTTGCTGTAATAGAATACACCAGACTTAGTAATTCATACAGAAAAGAAATTTCTTGCTCACAGTTCTGGAGGCTGGGAAGTCCAATATCAAGGTTCCAGGCAAGGGAGGGCCTTTGTGCTGAGTCATACCATGGTGGAAGGTGGAAGGGCAAAAAAGCTTGAGAACTGAGAAAAGGGAACCAAACTCACGATTTTCATCAGCAACTGACTCCAGCAATAACTAACCCACACCTAAGATAATTAACCCCCTTCTGTGATAATGACATTTATTCATTTATAAGGACAGATCCCTTATGATGTAATCACCATAATCAACACCGTTGCATTAGGGATTAAGTTTCCATCACATGAACTTTGGGGAACACATTCAAACTATGGAACTGAGGAATATAGCCTGCTTCCCCTGTTCTACACCAAAACTTATACATTCTATGTCTCATTGCTACAAAATCTTATATGCTACTGGATTCTAATTAGCAATGATTAGTTTATCTGAGAAGCTCATTCATGTAAATGAATTACCAATAGACATCATTTAATGGAGTTTTACTACATGATAGGCACTGTGGTAAATTCTTTATAAACATTATCTTACAAAGCCCTCTATGATGGCATTATCTTCATTTATAATTTAGGGAGTTGAGGGACACAAAGATTAAGAAATTTGCCCAAAGAATAATTTTGTAGGCCTTAGAAGCAGGATTTGAAATTCATTTCTATATGACACAGAGCCCTGAGTTCTGATCTTTTTGCCACAGCACTGTTTCTGAAAGTGTGTCTACCTGCATCAGAATCACCTAGGCTGTTTGTTGAGAATGCTGGTTTGTGGAACGTTCAAAAGACCTGCTAAGTCAGATTCTTTGGGTGCAGAGCTCAGGAATCTGCATTTTTTTTTGCAGTTTTCCCAAACCTCCCAGACATCTATATAATTTTTAGTCATGTAAAAAGCTTATGACTTTTTGACAAGTTCCATAAGAAGTAAACACAGTGATAGTGCTGTAAAACCCTGGTGCAAGTCAGTGAGCAAGACAATTTTGACAGTCCAAAGTCAAAGATGACTGAATATACCACAGAAATCTGACCCTAATGCTGTCAGTTAAATTCAGTCCCATGATATGAAGACTTGATGCTTTTAGAGAAACCCAAATCAAAGTAGCTGAAGCTCAAAAGGCCATTAATTGCTCTTTTAAAATACAGCTAGATCTAGGTGCTCAACCATAATCATCACCAATACTTTTCTCTTCATGTTTTGGTTCACCTCTCCTCTGTGTTGGCTTTATTCTTAAGTAGCACTTCCAAAGTGGTGATGAGGTGGCCCCCACCATCTCCAGGCTTATATTCTGCCAGGTTTAAATTCCCAATGGAAAGAGTTCATCTTTCAGTGTAATTCCTTGAGAAGTCCTAGGGACTTGGGCCTGGGTAACTCCTCTCCGAACCAAGCAGAAATCAGCAGGGTGGCATGCCCTGGGCAAACTTGAATCTTTTCCAAAGTCCTGAAACTAGAGAGAGGAGGGAATGGAGAGTGGGACCAGCTGCTTATAAGTCACATGAACTGAGAGTAAGGGAGGCTTGGTCCCCAAAGGGAAGTTGAGTCTTAATAGTACAAGGAGAGGGAATGGATGTTGGGCAGACAAATCAATGAATGTCCTTCTCACTCATGAATGGACAAAATGAGTTACTCTTTTTGCTCATAGTCAAGCTATCATTTTCCCCTAGGTGACTATTGGTAGCATAATTTTCTCAGCAAATATTTTTAAATGATACAAAATCTAACACGATCCAGTGCTCAACCAGGTGTGTCTATATATAGATCCAATAGCAAACTATTCACATCAGACCCAATTAGTGGAGTTAATAAAATTTATTTCCCAGATGCTTCAAATCACTGAAATGAATAAAGTTGTTTATGACAGGTCACAGGACACTTTCAAGGACCAGTTAAAAAGTGCTGCAGTTTGGAGAGAGCTCTGAGGTCATGATTAGAAGCTGAGAAGGTGGTAGATGAGAGAGTGGAAAGAATAGGAATTTTGCTGGGAAAGCTGAAAGATGTGAATAGAAATGAGGATGTTTCTGAGCTGTCATTTGCAAAGCTCTCCTATGGCTTTGAAGGTCTTTGGAATTGAGCTCTCACAGACTCGTTTTATTTTATTTGTTCATGTTTTACTTATTGTAAACTGCCAGGAATTAGCATCACTTGTATTTGCAGAGAGAACTTCATGGGTTGGTTAAGATTCTTGTTTCTGTCTGATGAATCCATGGTGTTCTCATGGCTAAGAGACAGCCACTCCAACCTTGACATTTTCCTTGAGCGAGAGAACCCTGTCATATGACTCCCCTGAATTAGTCATCAGAACAATCCATGGTAAGAAATACTTGCCTTTTTTCATTGCTATTGCCTACGTGTTGCTTAGATTGCTGCGTGAAAAGTTCAGTTTTTATAATAAGAAAGCTATCCACAAACTTAAGTGTGAGTTTCCTTATATTCTGTTCCCCTTCAATCACTTTAATTCTGTTTTCTAACTCCCATCCTTTAGGGATGATGAAAAATCCTATGTCAGGCCTTTTATTAGTAAGAGTAATTAATGCTAGCCAGCTTAATGAACAGCATCCAATTCTTAGTGGTTTAATAGCAAATTAATTTCTTAGTGTTGCCATTGTCTGATTGCTTATTTGGCAGGTGACTTTTCATTTGGTGTTCAGGGATCCTGGATCTGTCCATCTCTTTTTGCCAGTATTTTCTAAAACATCCTAAGATAACCCTCCTTCATCCTCTGCATCCAGTCAGCTAATAAGCAAAAAGAAAGAGCATGGCACATCACCTGAAGGGTTTTAGAGACCTAGAAATTGTCTACATCACTTTTTCCCATAATCCATTGGCCAGATCTACCTACAAGATCCACCTGCAAGATCCCACCTTTACTGCAGGGAAAACTGATAAATGTAATTTCCCAGTGTACCTAGGCAGGAAAGTGGGTTTGGTGAGCATTCAGCCACCTCCTGCTACAATTATTACTGGGGCTTCCTTTTGCTTCTAGATTATAGTAAAATCTAGGGAACTTAGTTGCAAAGTGGAGCCTCTTTAGCTTATAATATTGCAGCTGGCAATCCTCATGTTCCAAACCCCTGTTTCCTTGAGGCTTATGTGTCTCTCCTTTCATCCCCACATGGGAGTCCAGAGACCAGGTCCGCCTTTTTTAGAGAAGCCATATAGCCATCTGCTCAGTGTTCTTGCTAATACTCTAGGCTTTGCCAGGGAATACATGTGACTTTCCCTGTTCTGGGGGCCCTGCCTTGGGGGTAGTTCTCTCCCTCAGCTTGAACTTTTGTCATTTTCTTAAGTACACACGCACCCCACACACTTCTATTCTCCCCAGTGCCCTTGGGACATTGTTTAACTTCTATTTTCTGCCCCCCACCAAACATAATGGAGGAAGAGAGCATAGAAAGGCTTGGCTACCATTCTGCAATGAAGACAGGGAAAAAGACCAAGAGAAAAATACAAATCATAATTTTAAAATTTTGCCATAAATAAAAGTTGAGATGCATTGATTATATTGATTACTTATATCGGGGTTATGCCTTATCAACAACCCAGTTAATCAACAAACCAGTTACGTCAGGCCCATGCCTTATTAACAAACCAATCCTATGAGTTAAGTAACATTTCTCCCATTTTAAGATGTGGAAACTGAGACTTGAATAAGTTGTATTACTCATCTCTGGGCATACTCCTCATTAGGTGGCATTCATGACAAGGACCCACGTACAGCAGACTCCAAATCCTGGGTCAGTAGCCACTACATCACTCTGCAGTGCCTGATCAGTGGGGAAGCTATAACTATGACATTCTCAGTAGAAGGCTTGCCAACCCCCAGAACTGTGCAGCCTTAGCAGACAGGGATAGCACATTCGCATTTACCAAGCCTTTACCTTATGCCAGGTATTACGTTAGTCAGTTTGTAGATTCTGTCTTGCTTACTTTTTCCAGCATTAATATCATCCCTAACTTACAGATGAGGGTATGGAAGTTGAGTGAGGATATCGCCTGCCCCGTTATTTCAGATGGAGCCATGTCTCAAACCCTAATCCCTGTGACTCCTTAGTTCACACTCTATTCCACTCTCTTATGCCTTGTAGAAGTCCTGTCACTGTGTGGCCCAAGGGGAAGTGATTGTCCCTTGTGATCTATGAGCGTCATAGCCACCCCTTTTAAAAGTCTTGGGCCACAAGTTGGAAATTAACAAATCATTCCATCCATAAAGGGAAAATGGAAAGTGCTTCACATGATACGTGAAGATTGAGTATGATCCAAACCTAAAGAAAATACTGATGGAAATCTTATTCATAATAATTTCTCTTCATTTCTTGTAAACCTCCATTATATCCCAGTTTCATGAAGTAATTGCAGGGTGTCAAACTTGAACAGCTTAAAGTTATATAATTAATTGCATTCAGCTTCAGTTACAATTACTAATTGATCCAAGCCTGCCAGCATAGCACCTGGCAGCAGTCAGGAACACAACAGCGGTTGCAGGCAGGTGGTTGCAATAATTAGGTTACTACTTTTTTTCCCCCTTCAAGTACCAGGTGGTCCAAACCCCAGGGTCAAGCAGACTGTATTTGGCCCAAGGGTACCGTTTCTGACATCTGAGTTCTTTTGAAGAAACTAAGTGCAGTGGCAGAATATACTAGCCCGGAACATGGTAAAAAAGCACAAGCACCAAACTGGGCTTACTGCAGCAGAATCAGGGAAGAGGATCCAGCATCCCAAATAAGGTCTGGAGAAAGGGACAGACTCTTAAACCAGCAGTCAGGATATTTCTGAGATTTTGGCTTTCAGGCTAGCCCTTCTAACTAGGTATCTGGGAAATAAGAAGGAATGAGGATCCAAAAGCAGGCATGCAATCTGAGTTTGTAAGCAACGCTGCCTGGTAGTCATAAGCATCAGACTGGAAATCAGGTAGATGTTCTTGTTTGTCTGCTTGGTTGTTTTATTTTCTCCTGGGTCTGCTTCTTATTAAGTGAGATTTTAGGCAAACTACATGACTTTGCTAGGCCTCAGTTTCCTCATCTGCAAAATAGGAACAGATACTGTGGCTGCTGTGCCCACTAAATGAGTAAATGCATAAACATTGCTCAGCACATATCTGTTGGGCAATAAAATGATCCATTAATGTTAACCTGTTTTATCTGTATTGTATCTAGAAGGGAAAACAGTTCAGTGACCTACATTTTGAATTGGGTATTTAACAATGAATATAACTTCAAAATGATGAACAGCATCATTTTCATCTTTATAATATTAATAATAACTATAATTTACTGAGTATGTGTTCTGTGCCAGGGAAAAAAATAATAAGTCTTGTACTAGCTTTAATTAATGCCATCCTTATCTTTAATGTTGATATTAATATCCCTATTTTATAGATGAAAAACTGAGGCACAAAGAGGTTATGTTACTTCTCTGAGAGGAAATGAGGAAGATGAGTTAGAACTCAGATATCCTAATTCTGTCGCCAATAACCACTGTGCTTTACTGCCTTTATAAGCCCTGGGGAAAATGTTCTCAGGTTCTTTCTGACAATATTAACAAACTTTTATATTTTAATGCCAGATTATCCTAGCCCAGCTCTTGTATTTTAGTTCAGATTGACTTAAACAATAGCCATGATATAGAAAACATGTTTGGAGCATATTCAGAAAGCTGGGAAAGCTATTATTATTATTTGTTACATTTATTTTTTATTTCATTGCTTTTCTCTATTTTTGTTTGCTGTCTTTGTGCTTACAACATGCTCTTGAGCATCCTGTAGAAATTCATGCTGAGGTCAATGTTAAGTGGCAGGTAGGAAACTTTTATAGGTTCATGATCTTAAATCAGAAAGCAGAACATTGCCAAGAGATATTAAAAATAATTGCAATGAAGATGATCACAGCTCTATCAAGAACATCTGATAAGTAAGCTTGTTATTTACTGGAAACTCATTTCTCCCAACTGCTGTAAAGAGGAGGAGAAAAAGCCTTGCCTTTCTTGGAAGGCACAGGAGCAAACAGGAAAAAAAATACAGTTTTATTTTTAAACAGTTTTGAGTCTTTTCTGGAGATGTTTTCTAATCAATAGAAAAGACTAAGAAATCTTATGGTCTCATCTCCCAGGTTTTATGTTTCCCATTTATTTAACCAAGATAATAAAAACTCATATGTGGTCTCTTTAGTCATTTCCAAATAGGGCTGGCTTCTTCAGTTTATCTCCAAATAGGGCTGGCTTCTTCAGTTTATCTCCAAATAGGGCTGGCTTCTTCAGTTTATCTCCAAATAGCTCTGGCTACAAATTTCATTTCAGAACTGTTGTTAGCATTATCAACTGCTAGGTGGATAGACAGATATCACCTTTGGCTTTATTATTAACAAAAATAAGTCTACTTGGTTTGAAGGATTTGAGTTATAATAATGAAAAACTGTGTCTTGTTTTTTGGCTTATGAGGAAAAGCTGTGAGGTCTGGCCAACTTTCACATTTGAGTCCCTTTACTCTCAATCTATTCCCTCAGTCTTGGATTTAACAAGTTCCAGAGATCAATAGCTTTCTCTTAGAATGAGCGGAAATTAAAATCTGTGATGAGGCTTCACCCAACCCCCTTACAAAATCTGCCCCTGGAAAGCAACCCAAATATTGAGGCCCAATCCAATGGCTCTGCTTGCCTTTTATTCGCCTGACAGTCCCAGATTGAGAGGAAATGGCCTTCAGATTTTGGCAAATCTTTTACACTGGCATTCATATTGCTGAAATTTCTCAGCCACATTTCCGATTCAGAAGTGCCTCCCCACTCTGTGATGTGGGTCCAGGCAGCTAGCTTCCCAGCAAGCTTTGAGAATCCCTACTTTCTTATCCATAACTCTGCAAGCAATGAATGTGTGCAGCATACGGTATAGTGAAAGGGCATTGCAGGTAGGGGCTGGTTTCAAATTCAACTTGTAAGGTGTAAGTTGTATGACTTGCTCATGAAGCTGATATACATTTCTCTTTATTGAATCTTGATGACATAGATACTAGATACATTGTGGCCATTTTTCGTGTCAGCTTGGAGATGGCTATGAGGTCTCATCAATCAAAAAGTCTTACCCAGTCAAGTTTTCAGGGTTAGGAAACATTAGTCTTTATTCAGCTGAATATAAGGTACAGTCATTGGCTAGAATAGAGGGCCATGACCTGTGCAGAATACATCATTAAATGCTAGAGTTGTACTCTGAGATGAGAAGGCCTCACTTTGTGATGACCTTAACATTTTTTGGATCCTTTGCCATTTGCATATTACTTCTTTCTTTTACAAATATATGCCCTTGATTTCATGTAATTTAATTGAAATAAATGCAAGCTACAGCATCATATATGTATTTTGTGATGGAGGGCATTTTGCATATACTGAAATAAAGAGAAATTCTTGTAGTTTGAATGGGGAATATCTGCACCTCATATCAAAGTTAGACAAAGAAGATGGTGACTGAAGGAAGAAATGAAATCCCAAATGCTGGGGAAGGGCATGGCTTTTGTTCAATCTCCTGTTCATTCAATCTGCAATTACTGAATGCCAACCACATTACAAGCATTGTTCAATTTGCTGGGGGCTGAGATGAGAAGGGTATGAATTTTAGTTTCGAAGAGCTCACAGTCTTGTCTTGAGAAAGAAAGGTTTGACAGACAGCAGGAAAGCCATGTGACTTGAAAGAACATGGGGAGGACTGGATAGAAGATGATAGCACACCACCTGCAGGGGTGAGGAGCCCCATTCTGAGATCAGGAGAGCTGATTCAAATCCCCTCATCGCCTGATTAGCAGTGAAATCCTATGCAAAATGCCTGAGTTGTTTCTTTATGTGAAAATGAGGCAGCTGGACCATGAGCCTATTAAAATTCCGCAAATTGTGCTCCTTGAAAAAAATAGTTCTTCGTGGTATTAACGGGAGACTTTGAGAGGCAAAACATGCCAGAACGTCTGTGGTCAAACAATTTAAGAAATTATTAGCAACACTTTCTGTAATTGAGTATCCCCATTTTTCTAAGAAAAGAGAATGAATTACTATTTTTTAAATTATTTTTTCTTCTTTTCTCTTCTCCACTTCCCCCTGCTCCCCCCTTCCTACTTAGTTTTTTAGAGATGCAAATAATAGCCTTTTACTTCCTCTTCACTGGACACTTCCTACAGGGCAAATTCCAGAACAGAACTCTCAACCACCAGGAGGTTGCCTCAAGAGATAACAGTTGACTTACAACCTAAAGTATGCCCACTACAAACTTTCTCCCACCTGGAAAGTTTTTGGCCACCATTAAAACCTATTTATGCCCACGAAGACACCAGCTCAGCTGCTCAGTAGATAAGGCACCAAACTAGCACATGGACCACCCCCACCTGCTCATTTCTATCACTATATAGTCACCCCTTTTAAAAGCATCCTCTTTCTGCTGCAAAATCGAAGCAGTCTTCTTAAGGGAAGAAGGCTGTACTTCTTCCCCTTAGCTAGCTTTGGAATAAAAAGTCACTTTTCTTTATACCAGACCTGGCTCTTGTTAATTGGACTCTGCAAGCATCAAGTGACCAAACCTGTGTTTAGATTACATTTCCTCTAATAGGCAGACTGAATAAGTGTATAGTAGAAATGGAAAGCTCTTGGGCTTCTGCAAGGTCAGTGGTATGATCTTTACTTTATAGTGAGGGAAACTGTGACTGGAATAAATGAAGTAACTTGCCAGATAGCTAAGACAGCTAATTGTAGGGCCTCATAGAGCAGGAGTAAGTGTACATTTTTTATAAAGGGACCAATAGTAAATATTTAAGGTTTTGTTGGCCATATATTCTTTGTTCTGTTGCAGCCACTCAACTCTGCAATGTAATATGAAAGAAGCCATAGATTATATTGTAAATGATGGACGTGGCTGTGTTTCAATAAAACTTTATTTGCAGAATCCGGCAGTGACTGGCTTTAGCAAGAGGGCCTTAGTGTGCCAACTCTTATAGTAGAGCATAATGGGCTTTGGAGTCAAACCGCCCAGAAGATAATATCCCCAGATATGTCTTTTTCTGGCTAAGTGACTCTACAGAAGATATTTAATCTCCCTATTCATCAGTTTCACATCTATAATGTGGGCATAATAATAGTATCCACCTCAGAGTTGTGAGAATTAAGTGTAACATCTCCAAAACAATTATAATAGCACCTAGCACTTAATCAATTCTTGTTTCATTAGCCATTTTTGGTAATAGTCAGCAATTAATCAATTTCCCTACCGTCACATAGTTATTAAAAAGTGGGGACAGGATTTCCATTCAGAGGGTCAGGGTCTGGAGCCTGTGCTTTTATCTGAACTCGACCTCCAATGCCCTCTCAGAGCTGGAGGAGAAAGGGTTTAGGTCAGGTCTGGCTAACCGCAGAGCCCATGCTGCCTTGCCACAACTGGCCTTTCTGACCATACACTCAATGGATAATGGTCCACACACTCAATGATCACAGCGTGTAGATTTCAAGTGGGTCAAAATGCAAATACCCAGGGCGTTAAGTGTGTGGGTCACTATCCATTTAGATCCACATCTTAAAAGAAATCAGGACCATGCCTTTAATTGCTTTTGTTTGAAACTCTTCATAACTATATTTACTATACATATATGTAATGTTATGATAATACTTTGATGTCAACACAATCTAAGTTAGGAAGCTACAAAAACAATGTTTACCTCTATCCCAAGGACATAAATTTTCCCATAGAAGGTATAACGCTATGATATGCTGGACCAAAAAAATTAGGCTTATGATTAGGGATACTCACTATATGTAAATCTGTACTTAATCCTAAATTTTCTAGTTTGGAATTTCATCTGTGTACTTAACCTCCATTTCTACCACTGGATTTATGTTCTATTTTAAGAGGGTACAGTGGGGGTTCTCAAAGAGTAGTCTCCAAACTGGCAGTATCAGTGTCTCTTGAAAATGATAAGAGATGTTAGACCTTGGGCCCCACCTCGGACCTGCTCGATTAGAAACTCTAGGGCCCAGAATTTGGTGATGGAACCCAGCAATGTAGGAGCTGTGTAAATCATTTTATAATATTTCTATCACTTGTATACCACCTTACATTTTTCCAAAATACTTAAAAATATAATTCATTTTCAGCTTCAAAATAATCTTTAAGGTAGGCAGGATAGTAGGATGGAAATAAATGTTTGCTTATATCATTTTGCTAGTGAGAAAACTAGACAAGCATAGATCTTGATAGCAAAGCTAAGATTTCAGACTCAAACCCCATTTTGTTATTATTTTGAGTTCATATTTTTCCTCAAGCTGGGCCTTGTTTACTTATATTTAGTCTTATTGGCATGGAGACTTGATCATTTCTCCTTGATTAGTGTTCCCTGGTACCTTTTGGGTTTTACCTTCAGATTCATAATTATTAATTTTCTAGACCATGGGTCAGCAAAACTGGCCCACCACCAGTTTTTGCAAACTTTTTTTTGAAACACAGCCATGCTCATTTCTTTTTTATCAGCTGTGAGTGGCTGCTTTTACACTACAGCAGCAGAGCTGAAGAGTTGCAACAGAGGTTGTAGAGCCTACAGGTCACAAGTTCTCTACTCTTTGGCTCTTTATAGAAAACATTTGCCAATTGCTGGCCTAGAAGCAATAGATTTCTCACATAAAGCCTGATAATAAATAGCAGAAGAGGGCCATTCAGTTTCCTAACTTTGACTTCAGGATCAAAGGTTCCTCAACTCTTCTTTGCATGTATTTCTCAGTGGTCTAGACCAGTGGTACTCAACTTTTTAGCACCAGGGACTGGTTTTGTAGAAGAAAATTTTTCCACAGATGGGGTTGGGGGATGGTTTCAGGATGAAACTGTTCCACTTCAGATCATCAGGCATTAGTTAGATTCTCATAAAGAGTGTGCAGCCTTGATTGCTCACATGCACAGTTCACAATAGGGTTCAGGCTCCTATAAGAATGTAATGCGCGGCTGATCTGACATGAGGCAGAGCTCAGGCAGTCATGCTTACTTGCCTGCCGCTCACCTCCATGGACCAGTGCCTGTCTATGGCCCAGGGGTTGGGGACCCCTGGTCTGGACCACTCTGCTCATTAAGACTATAATTTTTTCTACCATAACTGGTAAAACTAAGTTTACTCTCTCTCTCCTTCCCCTATGGCTCAATAGTGTGGACTTTATTTTGACTATTAAAGTATCTCAATTAAGTATTTTCTGGGAGTCCATTAACTGTGTGTTTGCCAGTCTGACATAATAAAATTCTGAAAACACTCCAAGTGAAATATTTTAAGCCCAGACAAGAGGCAGAAAAGCAAATATAATATACTCTTGCCTCTCTGATTATGTTATCTGAAAAACCTAAAGTGCTTTCTAGTGCACTCTATGTCCAGACTCAGAATGAGGAATGACAAAATTTTTAGATAAATTGGTTTGTGAAATATTTATGTGCACTTTAGTGGCATAGACAGGAGGTAATCTGTTTTGTATTGAATCAGCTTGGGACAGAAAAAAAAGCACAATGTTAATGAGATTTTTTAAAACCACTTTTAAATTCATGTTGGCAAAAGACAAATAGTCAAGACTTTTAATTTCTATAAACTTAATGACTAGAGAACAAATAAAGCTTTATTAACTTAAATAAAAGTAAGTAGCTTTTCTTTCAAGAGCATAACAATTTATTTTTCTTTCTACGTAATCTTCTGAAGGACTACTCTTTTCTACATATTAATCATCCTTTTCCAGTGTGTTAGTTTGATTTTAACTAAGTACTGACGATGGTGAAAAATCACAGGGTGACTCCAGCTTAGTACACTGGGTTAAGCCTGTGGTCTGGGAGTTAGCCAACATTATTTCCCTATAAGATATGCAATGTCCTTGCTGTATTACCTTTGGCCAATACTTGCTGTCTCCATTTCATCCACTGGTTCCACCCATATGTAGACATTAAACTGATTTTAGTGTCTGATGAAGTTGATGCTGCACTTTGAATGTGTTAGTTATTCTAGAAAAGTAGAGTAAAGGCTGAGTCCACCCTTAAGTCAAGACTTCAACCTTCGATTTCATTGATCTTCCCAAACGACGGTCAGATATGTTTGTGCTCCCATAGTGTTATGATGCTCCCATAGTCTTTTATACTTATTTATCTCTATCATGGCATAATTCACCCTGGACTGAAATTACTAGCTGTTTTGTTTGTATTCCCTTTTAAACTATGACATTTTTAAGGGTAGAAGCTGGATTTTGTTCATTACAGTATCCTAAGTACCTGGTTTGCCATCAGTACTAAATAACTTTCTGATGGATGAACTAATTAAAGAGACTTAATTTTTAACTAATAAACTGGAAGATCTACTAGAAGGATGGGAAGGAGCATGTAAGTAGACCGTGTAACCAGTCAAACTCTGCCAGGGAACTTGCTAAGGAACACACTTCCAGGACAAAAAGAAACTAAATCCCATCTAGACTTTTGCAGTTTAAACTCTTAGGTCTATAAATTGTGTAATCTCTTCAAAATTTTCTGAGCTGATCCTATATCCCAGTCTTCCCATTTGTGCAAAAACCCTCTTTCTGCTGACCACTGGCAAAATGCTTTAGCTTGGATTGCTGAATGTGTTTTTTAACAGATATGCTAATCTCAGGAATGATGCATTTCAGCTCTAGCATCATTAAAATAATATCCCATTGCCATTCTGCAGTTCACTGCTGAGTCAGCACGTTTATTACAATCTCTCTCTTCCCAGGTTCCTAATTTGGCCATAAAAATTCACTCAGAGTAGAAACTTCACATAGGTCTTGCCTCTGAATGGTATTTTTTCAAACAGAATCTCAAAGTAAGCTGTTTAATGTACATGAACTATTGTGGAATTCACACACACTCAAGTAGAATTCTGAAAAGGGCCTTTAAGGTGTTGTAACTTATGCTATCACCTGAAATACTGACACTTCATAGTGGTGTCATCAGGCAAGTTTTGAATAAATCCTTTTTGTCCCCCTTGGGTAATTGCCCTGGGTATGTTCTGTAGAATATTCCCAGTTTTTGTAAACTCGACAAATTTTCATTTTTGCAGAATCTTTTCTTTTTCATTGCATTCTCCCTCCCATTTTTTATGCACCTTTGCTTTTACCCAGCTTTTGCCTCATGATCTCATCTACCACATTTGTTCCTTTTGCAACGTGTGTGTGTGTGTGTGTGTGTGTGTGTGTGGGAGGTAGTTACACGGGGAAGTTAAAATCTAGTTCTTAGGGTTAGCTCTCAAGTTTTCACATATGATTACCCACTTTGTGGATTATCTATGATGTATTTTTCCTGCAATTCTACTTTCCCAATCCACTTGGAATGTAACTGAATTTATTCCTTTCTCTCATTCCAATACACATTTAGTGGCTGTATAAACACCTCTGCATATCCTCTGAGATGTATCATTTTAAGAATGTATTTCCCCCACCCCAACTCCCTAAAATATATTTAAAGCCAATTACTTAAATGCTGTTATGTATATGCCTATATTTGAAGTCCATGAATCCTCTTCCTTCTATGTTGTGAATGAACAAAGAATAGCTGTTCATACATGAACTCTTTGCACAGTTGTTTAAGAAGGATAAAGTTCAGGCCAAGGGACAGCAACCCAAAAGAGAATCTGAAAATAAATGATAGCTCAGAAGTCCATGATGTTTTGTGCATGGAGAACTATCGACTGCTGGAATTTTAGAATCTCACCTTCTATCTGATGAGTGACTCTCTGTATCAACATCTCTAACAATGAAAAATGTTAGTAAATTTGCAGCAATCTCTGTGGCATAAGGTGGGAACTCCCAAAACCTTTTCTTTCACCAGCAAAACTGCCTAATAAGCAACTCCCATGCACACAGATTCTGTCCCCTCCCAATTCTGTCTGAAGCCCTATATTTAGAGAAAGATTTCTTAGGGTTACACTTTGGTTTTAATTTGTCTCAGGAGAAATAATTGTCTAACATAGCCACCCAGCTTTTGAATATGAAGTATATAGAAGCAGCTAAAATAATAAGCTTAGATAATTTAATTCATTCCAGAACATTTGCTACATACCAGCTATTTTGCTCTACTCTGCAGATATAAAAGGCAAAGAAGGTATGGCTTCTACTCTCAAATTGCCTAAAGTCTGTGTTGAAAAGCATAATTAACTAGCATCCTAGAGTAGAATTTAGTATTAAGGCAAAGCCTGTTTATTTAACAAATATTTATTCATCAAGTGCTTTCTGTGTGCCAGGCACATTTCTAAGGCTGTGGGAATACAGTGATGAACTAAACAGACAAAACCCTCCCCTCTTGTCTAAAAGGAAAGATGGACAATACATGAGTAATTAAGCTTAGAAGGCAAGTGGCTTCGTTTTGCTCACTGCTATATCCCCAGCATCTACTGCAGTGCCTGGCACATAGTATGCACTCAAATATTTAGGAATGTGAATCAAATTAATTAGTACAATATTTCCATATTTTAAATGGTCATGGAGGACTGAGAAGGGAATAGTTCATTCTGGCTACAAGAGCTAGAAAACTCCAGCCCAACCTTGAACGGTCTATAGGAAATTGAAAAGTGATGTGAGTAGACATAGCAATGCCAGATAGAAGATAGAAAATTCTGCGCAAAGTCATAGAGGTATGAAAGAGCATAGCACATTGCCAATACTGAAATTCAGTGTGGCCAGAGATCGGAGACTGAACAAGTAGGCTGAAACGTCATTGTTAAGGTCTTATTTGCAGGGACAAGATTTTGCTATCCTATGGACAATGGGGATACCTAAAAGTTTTAATCGTAGTGGGCCTTAAACCCATCTACATTTCAGGTTCCCCCTTTCCTGAGCTACTTTTCTCCCCGTAGCTCTTTGTGTCTTCCTCCTTCCTATTAGTGCTTTCTTTTTCCTCTCACTTGTCAGGCAGTCTATCATGCAATTATATTATCATGCGTTTGAGGCTCTTTCAGACTAGTCCCTTACAATGAGCAGAGTTAAGTCCTCTTTCCCCCTTATTTAGACAGTAACTAAATCATTTGCCATTTTGACACCCCTAGAAAGGTAAAGCTACCTCTGCAACAGCCAATGGGGTGTGTTGCACAGTGGATAAGAAGACTGCAGCACAATTCGTACCATAAAGGAAGCCGGCAGAGTCTGACTCTTCACATTAAAAATTAACAGTGTGCAATATACAGCAAAGCCTGCCACACTCCTCCCTTGTGAAGCGCATAATGGGAGAGCACCCCTCCCTGGAGGACGGGAAGGGAACATTTTCGTACAGAGGTGCCAATTTAATCATCAGAGGAAAGTTCTGCGAATCAAATGGAGGGCAGAACTCTCAGGAAGAGGCTGGAGGTTTAATTGCCCATTTGTGAGTCCTGAAATCCCCTTATACGCTTGTATAAGGGCCAGGGGAAGTACATCCGCCGTGAAGCCTTACCCAGTAGACATGCAGTAAATATCTTCTGAATGATAAATAAGATCAAGGATGTAAACTGGCCACCTCTGGCAGATGCTTCAGCAGTAAGAATATTCTCAATATTGTTGGTGGAGGCTTTAAGGTTTATAAAGGTTTTGCAAACGCTGCCTCTTTTCGTCTTTAGCACTATTCAGCACAAAACAGGAATTTTCACTATTATTCAAATGAGCCTCAGGGAGGTTAAATGAGTCTCCCAAGGTCACTTGGCTGGTTAGTGCTGTGGTTGGGACATAAACTCAGGTCTGCCGAATGAAAATGTGGGATGTTTCCTTTATGCTCTGAAAACATAGCTCCCATACAGTAATACTCCAGTTCTCAAAGTTTTGTCAGATGACTGCTTCAGAATCACTGCATAAAAGTTAAAAATGCGGCCGGGCGCCGTGGCTCACGCCTGTAATCCCAGCACTTTGGGAGGCTGAGGCAGGCGGATCACGAGGTCAGGAGATGGAGACCATCCTGGCTAACATGGTGAAACCCCCGTCTCTACTAAAAATACAAAAAATTGCCGGGCGTGGCGGCGTGCGCCTGTAGTCCCAGCTACTCGGGAGGCTGAGGCAGGAGAATGGCCTGGACCTGGGAGGCGGAGCTTGTAGTGAGCCGAGATCAAGCCACTGCATTCCAGCCTGGGTGACAGAGCAAGACTCCGTCTCAAAAAAAAAACAAAAAAAACAGAAGAAGAAAAAAGTTAAAAATGCAGAGTTGGGGGCCTCAATCAATCAACCACACTATGTAGTAAGGAATCTGCATTTTTAAGGAATCTGCATTTTTAACAAGGGCACCAGGGACAAACAAGTTTGAGAACCACTGTACCAAAGAACACCTAACACAGGTTGAAATAGTTTAATAAAAGTTACAGAAGTCTAAATTACTTCCAAGATAGGGTGGAGGCTGCAGTGAGCCCAGATTGCATCACTGTACTCCAGCCTGTGCAACAGAGACATTGTCCCCCTACCCCCAAAATATTAAATAAATAAATAAATAATTCCCAGGACAAAGCTTAAAAACAGGAGAACCCACGTGTTTTTTTAAGAATCTGTGAAGACAACTTTGCACCTAAATGTAAAAGTCACTTTCAATGTCATTGTCCTGTGGTAGTGTCCTCTATTTGTTAATCAGTTTTGACTTCAAAATTTCCCATTTTTAGGGGCCACTGATAATTTTATGAGTTTTGAAACTTTTGGTCTGTTTATTTGTCCTAATAAGCTTCTTTTCAGATACAAAAAAAAAAAAAAAAGAAGGCTTGATTTGTTTTGCTCAACAGCAAATCACAGGAACCACTATCTCTTGTGTTGGGTTCTATTCTTTCTAGCCCAGTGGCAATTGCTGTAATTACAGTGAAACTTGATGAATAAATGTGTCTCTATGAATTTTAAAAATCTGAATATGTGCTATGAATCAAGTTCAACAGACTTAGTAATGATGGTGCAAATCATTCACTGAAATGTCAGAATGTGTATTTAGTAACCACACGTTAATTCTCCCTTGTATATTTACACATATGCCAGCTTTTAAAGCAAGTGTTAATAGTTGATAGTGATATAACTTTACATTTCTGAAAATAGTCATAATGTAGACCTTGACTGGTTATAAATAATGTCTTCTTAATTCTATTCCAGTCTAGGAGTTGAAATCCAGAAATGACTGTCTTTTCTTTAGATCCTGGTAGCAAATTATAATTGTGATGAATGCATTCTCGTACCAACGGTTTAGCTAAAAATTATTCCTGATTATTTTGGAGTTGTGTTGCTTGCCATGAGGTTGCAAGTCTATTTCTACACAAGGGGTCTAAATTTGCTTTTGACCTCAGCAATTCAAATGTGCATATTTTCTTTTTTATCTTAAGAATTTATTGGGACAAAAAAATAGACAATTGCTTTTTGATTTCTTATTTATAGCCAGGAGTCCCTCTCAGCCCAAAGTCACTGTTCTGGAAGCTGGATGCAATTTCTACCTTCTCTGAACTTTTGAAGTATATTGTCTTTCTTTCATTTATAACACATCAGCTATCTATAGTAGTATTTTTATTATTGGAATGCATGCCATTTCCTCTGGAAATAAATTTGCTATTCTTTAAGGAATGGTCATATTTATAAGTTTTTATATCCTAAACAGTGTCTTAGACAAAATAGATACTGTAGTAGTTAGCCTCCAGGATGTTCCCAAACGATTTATGTCTCCATATATCTGTGCCCTTCCCACACCGAATCCAGGCTGGTCTTGTATGACTGATTGAATATGCCAAATGTGATGATGTGCAACTTTCAAAGCTAAGTCATAAAAGGCACTGGAGCCTCTTCCTTACTCTCTTGGATCACTTGCTCTGGACGGTACGGGCTGCTATGTCATGATGACATTCAACCCTTTGATGATACCCAAGTTGAGAGGAACTGAGGCCCTTGAATAAAAGCTAGTGCCGAACTGCCAGCTCTGTGATTGAATCACCTTGGAAGTGAATCTTCTAGACCTAGTCAATATCTGATTACAAATGAGGAAACCTGAACTGGAGTCTCCTAACCAAACAAATTCTACTTCCTTTCCCACAGAAACCATGCAGCAATAGCTGCTTGATCACATATCCCTGAACATCTTATTTAGTAGATAGAACTTTATGTCTAACAAATGATAATCATTGCTTTAAGCTCATAAGTCTTAAGGAAGTTCATTACTCTGCAATAAATAATGAATGTAGAATTCTATGGCTAAAGGCAAGATTATAACAAATGAAAGTTCAAAATATTTGATGCACACTAAACTTCATGACAATGAGTCTGTATCTCACTCTGTGGGTGATGTGAATATTTTTAGAGAAAAGTTACTTTTTAACTAGGCATTACAAGAATAGTATATGGGTGAGGTAGAGAAAGGCAACTTCAATTTGTAGCAAATGTTTAAAAGATTGATGGCTGGGCAGCTTCAGCAGCTGGCCAGAAGATTTGATGTCCTTGTAATGACAAAGTTTGTTACTTACAGAAGAGGTAGAGAGATATTGGCAGTTTAGAAAGACCTTTCAAGAAACCCTTGCAGAATGATAGAATAAGTACTCCCCAAAATCTGCTTCTCCATAAAGGCAATGAGAACACTTGCAAAAGTCCTCAAATGTAAATTTCTAGAGCTCTGGAAATTAACTAAGGGCTTATAACAGTCTAAGGAGCACTTATTCAGAAAAAACATAAGTATCAGTAAGAAGATCAAGATTTATGGAATTTTAGTGTGCCTTATTTTCATCACCCTGTCCTCAGATCTGCAGTATCCTTGAAAACCAATAGACACACAACCGTGGTACTTGTTAGAAACCAACAGTCTAGCAGCCACTCAAGGGAAAAACAGTTTTGGGGCTCCCCAAAAGCCCTCTTCCCAGAAAATTTTTACTATTTTACTTATCCAGTGGCTCCCTATAAATGCCCAAAGTCCAGGGCTTGTTTTTATACAATCTGACTGAAATTTCTCTGTGCAAACAGCCCTATCCCCAGGGTGTTTGTCAAAAATAATCAATTGCAGTTGTTTAATGTTGCAGCTTTCTGAGGCAGCTGTACAAGTGGCACAAAAGGAGGCTGACCAAAATATTTTAAAGGAAAAACTGGGATATGAGATATCCATAGAGGCATTTGAAATGCTCCAATATATTTCTGGGAATCCAGAAGGCAACATGCATGTTCAGAGCTGTGCTTATCCCCAGAAATAAACCGAAAATGCCCCAAGCTTTAATCTCTGACTGGCATTGAGGCTCAGCAAAGAGTAGGAAGTGAAGGCTAGGGCAGAGCTGTAAACTACTGGAGCATTGGAGGCATGCTCATAAACACACAGCCCCTCAACAGAGGCTGGAGGATTTATTGATTCAAGTCATTTAAGGAAAATTTGTTCAATCACTGCCTGATCACTAAGCCAGTTAAGCAGAGACATAGAGACTTCTATGGATACAGGCTACACACACACAGAAACACACACACACACACACACACGTACACACACACAAATATATACTTTACAGAATTCATCCAGGAAACTCATTAAGCCAACAAGCAGCAACAGCCAAAACAAGAACGAATAGCAACAATAAGCCCTGGGGAAGTATGATAGGCAGAATAATGCTCTCCCCAAAAGATGCCCATGTGTTAATCCCTAGAACTTGTAAATTTTTGTTACACGTTACATGGCAAGGAGGAATTCAGGTTGCTAGCAGCTGGATTTTAAATAGCAATATCATCTTGGATTATCTAGATGGGCCCAATGTAATCACAAAGGTTCTTTAAATGTGGAAGAGGGAGGTAAAAGAGTTAGTGTTGGAGTGATACAATGTGAGGAAGACTGAAATAGTCATTAATGACTTAGAAGATAGAATGGGCTGAGTGAAGGAAGGTAGACAGCCTCTAGAAGCTGGAAGTCAAGAAAATAGATTGTTCTATAAAGCCTCCAGAAAGAAATGCAGTCCTTCTGACATGATAATATTAGCCTGGTGAGACACATTTTAGACTTATAACCAGCAGAACTTCAAAATAATAAATTTGTGTTGTTTTAAGTTACTAAATTTTGGTGATTTGTTTCACAGCAATAGAAATGTAATAAGGGGTGAAGGAGGATCTGATTTTCAGAGTGTCCAGATTATATATTTTAAAAGTCCACTACCAAAAAAGAAACGTATGGCCCATACACAGGAAAAGAAGCCAATCAATAGAAGCTATCTCTCAGGAAGATGTATGTTGGACTTACTATACAAAGACTTTAAGCAATTACAAATATGTTTAAGGGACTAAAATTACCTCTAAAGAATTGTGGAGAGTATGACAGCAATGTCTTGCCAAATACAAATTGTCAATAAAGAGACACTAAAAAGAGCCAAATACAGATTCTAGAGTTGAAAATTACAAAAACTGTAATGAAAAAAAAATCAATGGCAAATCAAGTAGCTACTGGAGGGGACAAAAGAAGAAAAACATTAACAAACTTAAAGATAGGTCAATTAAGATTGTCCAGTTCAAGCAAAATGAAGAAAACAAAATGAGGGAAAATGAACAGAAAAATGTGTGTGTTTAAACCTTAGGATCCCATCAAGTGTACCATTATATAGATGATTGAGTCTAGAAGGAGAGAAGAGAGAGAAAGGGGAAGAAAGAAATTTGAAGAAATAAGAGTCTAAGTCTTCCCAAATTTGATGACAAATATTAATCTACAGATTGAAGCAGTTCAACGAATTCCAACTAAGATAAACTCAATAAAACTCACACCTATATAAGTCATCGCCAAACTGTTGAAGAACAAAGACAGAATCTTGAGAGCAACAGAGAAACATGACTTATCACATGCAAAGGCTCCCCAATAAGACTAACAGATGACTTTTCACCAGAAATTATGGAGGCTAGGCATGTGAAAAATGCTCAATATCATTAATCCTTAGGGAAAGGCAAATCAAAACCACACTGCAATACTACTTCATACCTCCTAAAAGGCTAAAACAGAAAAAAGTGACAACTGTTGATAAGGATGGAGAGGAACTGGAACCCTCATGCATGCATACATTGCTGGTGGGATTATAAAAGGTTGCAGAAACTTTAGAGAACAGTTAAGTAGTTCCTCAAAATGTTAAACATAGCACTGCCATGTGATCCAGAGATTCCACTGCTAGGTATTTGCCAAAAAGCCTTGAAAATGTTTACAGCAGCATAATTCATAATAGCCAAAAAGTGGAAACAACCCTAGTGTCCATCAGCTGCTGAATCAATAAATAAAATAAGTTGTATATACAAGAGAATATTACTCAGCTATAAAAAAGAATGACATACCGATACATGCTACAACACAAATAAGCGTTGGAAACTTTATGTTGAATGAATAAAGGCAGTCACCAAAGGGCGCATAATAGATTATTTATTGATTAAAAAAAAGTTCAGGATGGGTAAATCTGTAGAGACATAAATGGATTAGTATTTTCAGGGACTGATAGTAGGGAGGAATAGAGAGTGACTGCTATGCAAATTGACAGGGGTTTCTCTTTAGGGTGGTAAAATGTTCTAAAATTACATATTAGAGATGGTTGCACAACTCTGTGAATACACTCAAAGCCACAGCTCTTTTGCAACATGAGGGTATTATTTTTAGGGAAAATCTGAGGATTTTTTTTAAGGAAAAATGGAGGGTTAGCTAAAGAGCTATAGTCCTTGAGCTCAGTACAAAAAAGTATCCCATAAGCCACAGTATGTGACTAATGATTATGTAAAAAAGCTACATTCCATGACTAATGATTCCAATTCCTACTCTGAAAAAAAATCAAAGAAAACACAAGAAACATGAGATACTGTTATTAACCTTAGCGGGTTTACTTGAAATATGTACATTATTCAAATGTACTAAGATGTAAAAACTGTCACAGAAACATGAAGAGGCCGCTTAAGAGCCCTATATAAATAAATATATATTCTGTCATATTTAATGGATGAATTACAACTCTAACTTGTCAGAAAACACATACATTTCTGGGTGTGAGCTGCCACTCAAGTATTTGCAAAGTGGCTCTTGAATGATTTGTGTGATTCACAACTTTGACATTATGTCTGATGAAATGTCAGTGATACAGCCACACATACACGAATTGGAATTCTAGATTTTAAATATGTAAGGGGACATATATTTATATGAAGGGCCTATTTTAAAAACTTCAAACACTTAAGAAACTTGAAGAATTCAAGACTTATTTTCCTATGAGAGTACATTTATAGAATGGGGCATGGAGACCGACAAGTCTTCACTCTCATATTGCTTATTGTCTTCTCAGTATTAACTCTGATATTTCTCAGGATCCTTGTAAATAGGCAACATGGTGTATTGTGTTGGTTTTTTGCCTTCCTTTATAGTGTTTTTAGAGCCCTTCCCTTCCCTTCATTTTTAAAGTCATTGTTTTTTTCAGAAGCATTTTGTTTTTTGAAACAGCAGTAGAACTGCCACTTAAACAATGCTCAAATAACAGGGTTATAGGATATTTAATTAAAAAAATATATATTTCTAACTTGCAAGAAAATGCATATTTTGGGACATGAATCTATCACCCAACATATTTTAAAAGTGGTTATTGAATGTTATAAAAACAGTGCAATGATAACTAAAACCTCTTATAGAAGTTTTATTCCAAATAAACAATGACATGGACTAGCAGTTTGTGAGAAATGCAAAAAAGGCCCCATTCCAGATCTACAGAATCAAAATCTGAATTTTAACTGGATTGTGCTTTATAGGCACATTATATTTTGAAAAGCATTGGTTTGCATGGAACTGAAAAATGGTGGTTGGTATTTTGGTTTAAAAGATAATTGTGGTCCATCGCAATAGAGGAAATAAGTAAATTGATATGGTTTTGCTGTGTCCCTGCTCAGATCTCATCTTGGAGTCCCACATGTTGTAGGAGGGACCCAGTGGGAGGTAACTGAATCATGGGGGCAGGTCTTTCCTGCCGCCAAGAAGACAGAAAAATGTGGGAAAGTTTGGAACTTCCTGGAGACTTGTTGAATGACTTTGACAAAAATGCTGATAGTGACATGAACAATAAGGTCCAGGCTGAGGTGGTCTCCGGTGGAGATGAGGAACTTGTTGGGAACTGGAGCAAAGGTGACATTTGTTATGTTTTAGCAGAGACTGGCAGCATTTTGCCCCTGCCCTAGACATTTGTGGAACTTTGAACTTAAGAGAGATGATTTAGTGTATCTGGCGGAAGAAATTTCTAAGCAGCAAAGCATTCAAGAGGTGACTTGGGTGTTGTTAAAGGCATTCAGTTTTATAAGGGAAGCAGAGCATGAAAGTTGGAAAATTTGTAGCCTAACAATGCGATAGAAAAGAAAATACCATTTTCTGAGGAGAAATTCAAGCCTGCTGCAGAAATTTGCATAAGTAACAAGGAACCCAATGTTATTGCCTAAGACAATGGGGAAAATCTCCCCAGGGTATGTCAGAGGTCTTCATGGCTGCCCCTCCCATCACAGGCCCAGAGGCCTAGGAGGAAAAAGTGAGCTGAACCCAGGGTTCTCCATGCTGTGTGCAGCCTAGGGACTTGGTGCCCTGCAGCCCAGCTGCTCCAGCCATGGCTGAAAGGGGCCAATGAAGAGCTCAGGTCATGGCTTCAGGGGATGCCAGCTTCAAGCCTTGGCAGCTTCCCCAAGGTGCTGAGCTTGCAAGTGTACAGAAATCAAGAATGAAGGTTTGGGAACCTCTGCCTAGATTTCCTAGTGTAGATGTATGGAAACACCTGGATGTCCAGGCAGAAGTTTGCTGCAGGCGCAGGGCCCTCATGCAGAACCTCTGCTAGGGCAGTATGGAAGGGAAATGTGAGGTTGGAGCCCCAACACAGAGTCCCTACTGGGGCGCTGCCTAGTGGAGCTGTGAGAAGAGGGCCACTGTCCTCTAGACCTCAGAATGGTAGATCCACTGACAGCTTGCACCATATACCTGGAAAAGCCTCAGACACTCAATTCTAGCCCATGAAAGCAGCCAGGAGGAAGTCTGTACCCTGCACAACCACAAGGGCGGAGTTGTCCAAGACTATGGGAACCCACCTCTTGCATCAGTGTGACCTGCATGTGAGACATGGATTCAAAGGAGATCATTTTGGAGCTTTAAGATTCGTCTGCCCTGCTGGACTTTGTGCTTGCATGGGGCCTGTAGCCTCTTTGTTTCGGCCAATCTCTCCCGTTTGGAATGGTTGTATTTACCCAACGCCTGTTTACCTGCTGTATCTAGAAAATAACTTACCTGTTTTTGATTTTACAGGCTCATAGGTGGAAGGGAATTGCCTTGTCTCAGATAAGACTTTGGACCGTGGGCTTTTGAGTTAATTCTGAAATGAGTTAAGACTTTGGGGGATGGTTGGGAAGGCATGATTGTTTTTGAAATGTAAGAACATGAGATTTGGGAGGGGCCAGGGGTGGAATGATATGGCTTGGCTATGTCCCCACCCGAGTATCATCTTGAATTCCCACATGTGGTGGGAGGGACCCAGTGGGAGGTAACTGAATCATGAGGGCAGGTCTTTCCCATGTTTTTCTTGTGATAGTGAATATGTCTCACAAGACCTGGTGATTTTAAAATGGGAGTATCCCTGCACAAGCTTTTTCTTTGCCTGCACCATCCACATAAGATGTGAGTTGCTCCTCTTTCCCTTCTGCCATGATTGTGAGACCTCCCCAGCCATGTGGAACTGTACATTCATTGAACCTTTTTTTCTTCCCAGTCTCAGGTACGTCTTTATCAGCAGCATGAAAATGGACTAATACATGAATATAAATACAGTTTACAGGCAGGATGCCATGGCTCATGCCTACAATTCCAGCACATTGGGAGGTCAAGGTGGGAGAATTGTTTGAGGCCAGGAGTTTGAGACAAGCCTGGGCAACATATTGAGACCCTGTTTCTACAAAAATTGAAAAAACTAGGTGAGCATGGTGTCAAGTCCCTGTGGTCCTAGCTATTTGGGAGGCTGAGGCAAGAGGATTGCTTGAGCCCAGGAGTTCCACCTCACAGTGAGCTATGATTGCACCACTGCACTCCAGCCTGGGTGACAGAGTGAGACTCCACCAAGTAAATAATAAAGTTTACAGATCATTTAGTCTCCCCTATAATTTTGATGAAGCTTTTTAATTGACAGGATTTGCATTAGTTCAAATACTTCCCATAGTGGGAAGTGCTATTACCATTTTGATATCATACTCATTAAAATTTGCATAATTCATGTTGCATGCACATACACATACATATTTACCACTTCTCTATTCCCACTAAACCCTGACCAATGTGTTTGTTCGTTTAGACAATGCCCCTCCTGGGACACCCAGGCCACATAAAATAGCAAAGAGTTCATTAGAATGGTGTCACCAGCATAGCTATAATTAAGGCTACATCAGCAATTTTGGGGCTTAAAACTCCATTGTAAAGTTGTATTCTGGGATGAAACTCAGCACAAAAGCTCAACCTGGGAGTAGATTGTTTACTAGTTCTGGGAGGAATGTGGGGGGAAATTGATTCAGTTGTTTATGATTCACTATATTGCTCATCTGGTTCTTGGTGGCATTTGAATTAAGATGTTTTATAGACTGGTGATCATCGAGAACTGGTATTTTCACCGAAGTCTTCATAGACCTTACTGAAACTGTAAATATTACAGAAACTCAGATGGTGTCAACTGTTTATATTCTATGAATGAGGACAAATATGCATAGGGATGCAATTAAAAGAGAAAAGGAGTAATTCTAATTAGGCAGAATTGGTAACATATTTCATCAAAGTAGGACGCAGAGAATTCCTTAGTTGCCCACATATTTCTGCCAAGTAGACACCAAGGCATGCTCCCTCGAATTTGCTCTGGGATATTTAATTGGTAAATCAACATTAATGATCAGAGAAGTTTAGAACCAGCTCTTTTAGAAAACTGAGATTCACACTTGACTTCTCTTAGATGTAGCTACAGAGCTCATGGCTAAAGAGAAAACCTCACTAATGAAAAAAGTCCTGGAATTCTGTGCTTCTTCAGCTTCTTTACTACTACCTTGCTCTTTTGAAGAGAGAAACTTGTCATCCTGAGACTTCTAGCTGTAGTAATCAGGAATATAATAGGAGTAAGCTCCTATTATATTCAATTTGTGATTAGATATATTGTCATCTTGGGTACAAGTTTAAATGTAGTTTTAGGCAGTTATCTAAAGTGTAGTCCCAATCTAAATAATTAGAAACTCCTAATTTTCCACAAGGGCTTAACTATTAATGGTGAATATAATAGTTACAAGCTGGAAGTCTTGAGGAAGACAGAACCAAGTTCAAATGCTCTTCCTACTCCTTTTATAATCTGTCTTGTCTTTGGGCAAATGACTTAATACCCATGACCTTCAGTTTCTCCTTCTAAACTCTGATGGTAATAATAGTAGATATTTCAGAGGATGGTCACCAAATTAAAAACTTAACCCTGGGCTGGGCATGGTGGCTCACGCCTGTAATCCCAGCCCTTTGGGAGTCCGAGGTGGGCGGATCACAAGGTCAGCAGATCGAGACCATCCTGGCTAACATGGTGAAACCCCATCTCTACTAAAAATACAAAAAATTAGCCTGGTGTGGTGGTGGGCGCCTATAGTCCCAGCTACTCGGGAGGCTGAGGCAGGAGAATGGCGTGAACCTGGGAGGCGGAGCTTGCAGTGAGCCAAGATGGCACCACTGCACTCCAGCCTGGGTGAGAGTGCGAGACTCCATCCCCCCCTCCCCAAAAAAAAATACATGACCCTGCAAAGCACCATACCTGGTATATGGTAACTATTTATTATGTTGTGTGATGGCCTAACCAAAATTTATTTTCAAGTTGTCATCTATTTCCTCATTCATTCACTCATACAACACATACTTATCAGTTGCTTCCACTGTGCCAGACATGCTGATTCAATGCTGGAAATAATAGTGAGCAGGGTTGGCATAATCCCTTTCTTATTATTTAATATTGTAGTGGAAGGAACAGACCAAAAACGTTATCAAAGAAGTAAAATGATCATGATTTTTTATAGGTGTTAGGAATGAAGCAAGCAAGGGGTTAAGATGGAAATTAATAATGGAGAGATGGGTATGAGAATTAATTCAGAGTGTTCAGGGAAGGCATCCAGGAGGAGGTATGTATAAAACTGTTACCTAACTGACAAACAGGCTGGAAAAAAAGCTCAGGAAAGATACTCCAGGCTAAAAGAGAAACAGATATATATGCCCTGGGGCGGAAATACCTTGGCATGCACAAGGATCTGAAAGACAGCTACTTGGCTGGACCACAAGGAAGGTAAGGTAGAATAATGAGATTAGCTGGGAAAAGGAGAAATGGACAAAGTAGCACAAAGCTTTGTTATCCACGTAAGGAGTTTAGATTCAATTTAGAGAATAGTGAGATCCCTAGAAGAGATGATGTACTGAGGTACACTGTTTAAGGAGGTGCTTCCAGCTGGTGGTGGAGAATGGCTTGAAGAAAGTCAGTAGTATCTCTCTGAGCTTCCTTATGGATCAAAGGGGAAATCCCCAAACACACGTCTGGGGCTATTTTGTAGCCAGTGAATTCTGTGATAAACTCGGAGATATTGTATGTTTTTACTGTTAACATATCAAGGAGGAGAGAAGGTGGTGCTAAGAACACACTTATTTGATGAATAAGAGCAGTTTTTTATAGCAGAACCACTCAAGACTACATAATTGCTATTTTGAAACACACATCATCATTCATAATTTCATTAGGCTATAACTTACTTCCAGGAAAACTATATTTTATGTCAACTCATCTTCCCTGAACAGAAACCCTACTTTTGGCATTTTTAAAATTTAAAATTCTAGGACATATACCAGATCAGCATATTTCTTTGATTTCTTTCCTCTGTATGTAGAAAATATTTTTAGGCTTTACAACCCTACATTACTAAATGACCTTCAGAACTTAATTTAAGTGCACAAGTATTACAGAATGAAAGTGGAATTCTGATCTTCATTAGGATTTTAAAATTTGGATCATGTTGTTCCTGCTCATTTTGTTCATCTTTCCATTTTTCCTCCTTTTAACATTGGTCTGCATTTTTAAAGAAAATGAAGTTGTAAAAATTGAACTAGGGGTTTTCTTTTTCTGTACTCCTTGTGTTTCTAAATTATTAAATAATAATGTAATAACAAGCACTTATCTAGTGATTTATTAAAGAACCTCTTGTTTGCAACTCCAGCCCTGGAGAACACTGAAAATGTTTTCTTTGTAAAGTTTCCAAAGTAACATCAGCTAATCTGCCTCTTCTTGATGTAACCGCACAATGCTAGAATTTTTCACTTATTAATTATCAAATAAATGAATTGGATAATAGATATGTGAAGTAGAAAATAGTTTCTTTTGGATTGTCAAATAAGGTGACTTTGCTTGAATGCATGCTCCTGAAATTTGGGAGGACAGTCTTCCCATCTGTCCTTCATTTACCTGACCCCATTTATTTGTATGTATGCTTGTGTGAATGCAAATAAATTATTAATTATGCTTAAACTCTATGAACAAATCAGCTAGTGTACACCAAATTTTGACGCTTGCATAAGATTCTTTCCTGCCTATAACACATAATTTTATTATTATTATTATTATTATTATTATTATTTGAGAGGGAGTCTTACTCTGTCACCCAGGCTGGAGTGCAGTGGCACCATCTGGGCTCACTGCAACCTCCACCTCCCAGTTTCAAGTAATTCTTCTGCCTTAGCCTCCCATGTAATGTAGCTGGGACTACAGGTGTGCACCACCACACCTGGCTAATTTTTTTTTTTTGTATTTTTAGTAGAGACAGTCTTTCACTATGTTGGCCAGGCTGGTCTCGAACTCCCGACCTCAGGTTATCCACCTGCTTTGGCCACTCAGAGTGCTAGGATTACAAGTGTGAGCCACCACATCCAGCCTATTTTATTTATATATGTCAGACTCATGTTGAGCTGGGTTTTCAGATTGTGAGCTGAAATGGCAGAGGAGCTAGATAGCTAGTAACAAGAGGTAAAGGATACTGAACGAGAACAGCATCACACCTGCAGGCAATTTTTGTTTGATTAGCCCATATTGTCCCAACATAAGAAGTTCAGATGATTTATCGTAAATACTGGGATTTATGGTTTCTTTTGAAAAATGAGCCAGTTGACAAAAGTCAGTAGGAGGTGAGTAGTGTCTGCCCCTTCTAGAGAAGATAGATACTTCCCAGTTTGCCCCAGTCCCTACAACCCCTTATTTTTCTTGGCAACTGACATGTTTCAGTCATTTACAATTCTTCCCTGGCCTCTGCAGACCTTTATGTGTGTGGTCACCAGAATAGCAACATCACCTATGTGGTAGGCAGCTTCTAATACGACCCCTGATGATCCTCTCCTCCTAGTTTTCATGCCCTTCTGTATCCCCTCTCTCTCTGTGTGGGCTAGGCCTAGTGACTTTATTCTGGAAAAAACAACCACAGAATACAGCAAAAACGAAGTGATGTGCCTTCTGAGATTGGGTTATAAAAGGTGGTGACTTCCATTTTGCTGGCACTCTTGGTCTTCCCTTCTCTAGCCTAGCTGGTTTTCATGAAACAAGCTGCAATGCTGCATAAACACACAAAGTACGGACGAGAAGGCCACCTTTGGCCAACGGTCAGCAAAAACCTTGGGCCCTTGGTCCAACAAACTACAAGGAACTGAACCCTGCCAACAAGCACATGAGTGAGTAGATCCTTCTCCAGTTAAGCTTTGAGATGAGACCATAACTGTTGCTGTCATCTTGATTGCAGCCTGGTGAGAGACTCAGTCAGGTGGGGCTGGCTAGTGGGGACCCAGCCAAATTGTGCCCCAACTCCTGATCTGTAGAAACTGTGTCTTGTTTTAAGCTGCTGAAATTTAGAGTAATTTGTTATGCAACAGTAGGTAAATAATATACCTTACTCCAGAGAAAGATGGTGCACTGACTAGAACATACAAAAAAAAAAAAAAAAACTTCCTTAGAATTATGTAAGTGAAGGCAGTAAATTTTTCTGTTCCAGTGAATATAGTTTTGGTCTAATAACTGATGTTGGAGGTACTCAGTAACTATGAAGTAAATTCAGGGTAACCAGTGGTGAGTTAGCTGTTATGAGAGACTGTTATACTGATAATGTTGCTAATAGGGTAATTATTATTTTTTATGCACTGTTTAGATTTATCTTTTAAAAATTCCCTTCATATGTGGTTCCAAATATTCTGATTATCTAAAGTATGTCTTAGATACAAAAATGTTAGAAACTATTGATCAAGACAAGTTCCCAGAATACTAGACTCCTAATGGAGATGACTGGAAATGGCTTAGACATCTGTTGTGGGCTCTCTCAGCACACATCGAAAGGAAAAGAGTGGAGGTTGCAACACTTTCATCTGTAAAATAGGGTGAAATCTAAGTTATGAAAGAAGCAGAGCAGAGCTAAAACATTGTCTCAAAGATCTGGATGTCATTCCTTACTTTTAAACTATATGATAAATACAGTTTACAGGCTGGGGATGGTAGTTCATGCCTGTAATCCCAGCACTTCGGGAGGCTAAGGCAGGAGGATCACTTGAGCTGGGGAGCTTGAGACCAGCCTGGGCAACATAGTGAGACCCCATCTCTACACAAAGCAAAAAACATTAGCTGGGTGTGGGTGGCACACGCTTGCAGTCTTAGCTACTGGTGAGGCTGAGGCAAGAAGATCACTTGATCCCAGGAGGTCAAGGCTGCAGTGAGTCATGATTAAACCACTGTACTCCAGCCTGGGTGACAGAGTGAGACCCTGTCTCAAACATAAATGAATTCATAAACAGACAGACAGACAAACTGTGTAACCCTTAATGGATTTCTCAGTATTACATTACCAGGTGGAAAATTGGATACTATTCATTTCTTTATTCAGCAAGCTTTGTAAAAGCCCCAGTGTTGTACTGTGTATTGTGCTCAGTATGGAGATACAAATGAATGAGATGTATAGTGTGATGCATGGTGCCGTCAGCTTCTGGGGTGGTGACATTTACATACAATGCAGTAGTATTTCATTCAAAACTACTAACAGTTTAACATCCAAATATCAGAAATGGGAATTAGAAATTATTGTACCAGGTTATTGCTTCAATTGGTACTGTTGTTATTACTAATTTATCTGATCCTATAGAATACTGAATTTATCACATTAACATGAACAACATCCAACACCCCTTTAAAGTACTTAATGCACAACACTCTTTTAAAGTACTTGTCAACATACACACATTTTAATGTGAGTTTTAACATAATGTCTTACAGCCCTTAAGTCATTTCTGTATATAAACCTTGCATTCTTGTAAACCCTACGTAAAACATATTGCTTTATGCACTATACACATTTATTAGCAATTTCAGCCAATTTAGTTTATTATTTAGTGATAATGTCATGTTTTATGGATGCTGTTTATATTTTATGCATATGGTGGTGATAAGAATAGGTTGGATTGCATTGAAAATATAATAAAAAGAAATATAATTTGTGTCTAGGTTCCAGAGGTTCATAGATAAAATGTTGAAACAAATCATCAAAGTCATGTATCTTTATTTCAGTTGGTTCAACCAACCCTCCCAAATAATTATCCTATCAGAAAATTCTTGCACTACTCAATACATTTGACCTGAGCAGTATGTGTGTAGTTTTATCATCAATCAATAGTATACCTGCCCCATCGCTTTGGGTGAAATGGTGGTTTGAGAGGGCTTTAATTCTTCAAAAGATCCATTGACTAGTTTTGCCCAAGTTCACCTTTTAAAGTTATCCCAGGACCACTTATTGTGCATCAAGTATGAGAAGTGGAGCAAAGGTTAATGATTCTTAATTGGACTTCATTAAGTGATAATATAAGATCTCGAGCTCCTCATTATGCCCCATGATTGGACAGCAATGTCATAACATCAGGAAATAAGGAACCAGAAGTCATGCATTGTCATACATTGGAACACTCTAGCAACTTATTATGTTTCAGATACATTGTCTTTAGTGAGGTATAAAAGTGAGGTGCATATTAATAGCTTGATGAAGTTCCCATTTTAAGACAAAGTATATTTTTGATGCAATAAAGACTTTGATTGGAACTATTATGATCAGAAGACTGTTGGATCCTGTATATCTTTTCTTATTATTTATTAGCTGCCCTCAACAGTGAGAAGGTTATTGGATCATTTCACAGCTTATGCAGTCTAATTGAAACACAGAATTTTGTTCATGCATCACTTTTGAATTTAGGGACTGTTCATTCTTTCATTACCTGTGTGGTGATTTCCAACCCACTTTGGTAATACAAGGGATTGTGATAGCATATTTGCTCCTAAGCACATTCTATTTAGATCAGAGTCAGTTCTATAGTTCTCATTTTGCTCTGAGAATGGGAATTGATGCATACAAAACAGTAGTAACTGTAGTTAACATGTCAGGGAAAATGAATGCACAGATGTGTACTATATAATGCCATGTGCTTCAGAGATAACCACAGTGAGGGATGTAAGCTAACCTTGGTCTTCTGTAATGCAAAGCTAATATATTCAAAAAGATATTCCCCTTCATTACGATTTAATGTAATTGTTCCTAATCTGTAACCTGAACAAAAAACTCAAATGTCTTATCCAAACACTAACATTAAGCTGCTTTTCTCCAGGATAGCGATATGACACTTTACATTCATATGCCTCAGAGAGGAACTGGACATCAAAAAGTGTCATACATGCTGTATTCTCCCTGAAATTTTCTGCGAATTTCCGTGAATAAGGAATCAAATGATTAGGTTGACACTAACATTTATGATAATTCAGATGATTGACAGAGGATGGATACGGTAATGAAATAGATCACCTCCACAAGTTACATGACAGCGATTTCAAAGCATTCTAAGTCCTACCTGAAAGCAAATATCAGGTTTGATAAACCTTGCAGGGCTGGAGGCTTAGAAAATTATTAGAGTCTGTATTTGGAAACACTGTGGCTAGAAGGTATACCAACATATTTTCTACATTTATGATGATAAGCACTGTGTGCATGTGTGTGTGTGAAAGCAAAAGAAAGAGAGCTGATTTTTATTCTCTATAAGGATAAAAATTATTATTTTTTGCCCCTGAAAACAGTCTGAAATGCTACATAGGTAATTTTTGGCATGTCTCTTCTATCCCTAAAGCAGGACTATTGATTAGCTCCAATATATACTGGGAACACGAAAGCTCCCATTTGCTAACAAAAACAGGTGTTGAACGAATATTAGGTTTGATTAAATGAGCAAAGGTTAACTACTCACTCATGTGAAATTGCTCTAGAGAAAGAAAGATATCAGGCCCAAAGAATGTTGACTGCCATATGTATAGATTTAATATTTTTCATAGTGGCCTGTGGACCACCATTTTACTTGTTAAAAATGTTCACTCTTCAACCCAATGTGATGAAGCAGATTCCTATGGGCTGAGACATGGGAAAGTGTGTTCTGCAAAAACACCCGGGATGTTTTTCTACATCCTTCACTTGAACAATCACTGGTATACATTCAATTTCTCATTTGAAATGCTGTTTTTCTTCATTCAATTTAAACCAATAAATATTTAACCCTGCTATATGTCAGGGACTCTGCCAAGACAATTGTCTAAAAGCCTCTGTTCTCATGACACTCCTAGGCTATCAGAGAAGACAGACATCTGAGCAAGCACTAAGTGGAGATGTGTAGCCAGAGGAACCAGTCCGCATGGGAGACAGCAAGAAGGGTATTCCTGAGGAAGTGACATTTAAAGGGACCCTGGAAGGATGAGTAGGAGCCAGTAAAGTGAGGGTAAGAAGGGAAAGAGAAGGGAAAGGACGTTTCCAAATAGAGCAAATCACATTTGGGGAGCCAACATCAATAAAGAAGAATGGACTTGAAATACAGAAGCCTTAATGGCAGGTAAAGAGAGTAGAAGTTTGTGGTATGTAAGGAGGTAGAAGGGACTGGAACCTCAAGGATGGTATAAGGCTGTGTTTTCCAGTCTTTGGTATTTTCATAACATTTTCATGGTTTGCTCCACCAGAGTACAGCTTGTACTGTTATTTCCTTAATTTGTTGCATTAAATCTATTCACTTCTTGTCTTAAATGAATTTATTTTAAAATAAAACTTTGTATCGCTATGTAAATGCAACCACAGTATCATCTAACCTTAGTAGAAAGACACCTTTAAAATGAACTATTACAGGTGCAGTGGCTCACACCTGTAATCCCAGCACTTTGGGAGGCCAAGCCAGATAGCTCACTTGAGCTCAGGAGTTCCAGACCAGCCTGGGCAACATAAAGAAACTTCATCTCTACAGAAAAAATACAAAAACTAGCCAGGTGTGGTGGCGCCTGCCTTTAGTCCCAGCTACTCAGGAGGCTGAGATGGGAGGATCCCTTGAACCCAGGAAGTCAAGGCTACAGTGAACCATGATTGCACTTCAACCTGGGTAACAGTGAGAACCTGTCTCAAATAAAATAAATAAATAAATAAATAAATAAATAGGAAACAAAATGAATTTGATAAATCCTAACTCAATGTTGATTTCATTAGAAGATGCTGAGCATGAAGCCTGCTCCTTGTCAAAAAGGGAGGTGAGCAGTGTTAGGAGGTAAAGTCCTCCACCCTACTAGCAACATGAGGCTTTCTCCTTGGAAAGAAAGCTGGAAAAACAACTTTCTCATTGTGCAACTCAGAGATGTTTATTGCCTTAGCTCCCCCTTTGGTGTGCTAGCGAATATCATCTTGAGGGTCTTTTATAATACATTTCTACTCTTTGGGAATAATTGTTATTAATCATGAGGATTTTGAGTTTTGTTGCCAGGGCAATTACAAACCAGTGGATAACTTCTAAACAGGTCCTGGTGTGCTTCCCTAACCCTTTCCGCAGAAGTACCCAGAACAGCCTGAAACCAGAGCAGTAAGTTGAAAATGCCTCCGAGTTCCCAAGGTCTCTTTTAAGCATTCCAATGTGATGTTGTACTCCAAAGCATAACACAACCCCTCTCTCATTGTAATAATAGATCATTGAATGAAACCTATGTTTTACTAAGACGTGAGAACTGAAGTTAGACTTTTGTTTTTTTCCCTTTTCTTTCACCATTGTATGCCTCATCTCTTGTACTGGGACAGACACGTTGTAGTTGTATGATTAATATATGAGAAGAATGTTTATCCCATCCCCACCTGGAGATAAGATTATTGTTGATTCTTCTGTAGGTATCTCTACCTGTCTACTTACCGTCCTTTATCCAGGGACCCAACCTGCCTGGGCTTTCCTTCCTCCCCAACTCCCTCTCATTAATTCATTCATCGAACATTGGTGTGTGCCTGGCTCTTTAGTAAGTGCTCAGGATGCATTGAATTGCTCCAGGCTGCTGAGGAAGCTCAAGCTTTTGGGATGGCCTTTAATTTCTCACCTTGCTAGGAGATGTCCCTTCAAAACATACCATGGGCCTAGCCCACATATGATTCTTCTGAAAATCATCTGTCCTTCTTATCTCTGTGGGTAATTAGCAGTTTCTTGAGAATGTGTGAAGTTTGTGGGAAAAAAAAAAGCCAGTTTGCTTTTCTTAGATATCCATCCCATCTTTAAGTTTATATTCCTAGTTTCAAGCTGAACTTTCAGGAAATTAGGAGTACCTTGTCAATAATGAAACCTTGAATTCTGAGTAAATTCATTTTACCTGTTATTATTTGGTGTGGATTAAAAAATAAAACATGAATATTGTCTTTTACGTGTGTCCTCCATGCAAAATTTGACATCACCTTCTGTTTATAAGCAGCCTCTCATTATCTTTTTGTGTTTAGGGGAGTATAGCATATAAAAAAAGAATTGTACAAATATAATGTATTACTTAATGGATTATCACAAAGTGAACATAAAAAAATAGAGAAATAAAACATTGTCAGACTTAGATGGCTTTCTCATGCCCCTTCTAATCACCTTCATCCCTGGCCAAAGGTATGATTCTGTTTAACTCTAGAGATTAGCTTTGTCTATTTTTGAACTTTCTATGGTGGGCTGATACACTCATTGTGGCTTCACTTGTTCAACAGCAGGTTTGTGAAATTGATTATCTTGGGTGATATAGCTCATCTTTGCACAGTATGATTACAGGACAAATTTTAGAAATCCTCTGTAATACTGGTTTTCAATTTGGGGCTATTACAAGTAACAATGCCATGAACTTTCTTATATGTGTTTTGGGAGCATGTGTCATGCATTTCTCTTAAGCACATACCTGGGAGTGGGATTTTGGATCATCATATGCAAAGCAGTGTTTAGTTTTAGTAGAAAATGCCAAGCAGTTTTCTAACACATTACACAGCTTATACTTATCCCAGAAGCAATGTATGATCATCTTTTTGGTCTTAAATTCTTGCCAGTGCTTGGTTCTGTCAGTCCTTTTAATTTTGGCCATTTTAGTGAGTATTATGGTAGCATTGCGGCTTTAATTTGCATTTTGTTAATTACTAATGAAGTTGAGCAATTGTTTGCATGATTATTTGCCATTGGGATATTCTGTTTAATAAAGTTTCTGTTTACATTTCTTGCCTATTTTTCTATTGGGTTGTCTAGCTTTGTCTTATAGATTTGTAGAAGTTATTTTATATTCTGAATATAAGACCTTGTTATCTCTGTTCCATATTCTATTCTGTGGATTGCCTATTCATATTCTTGAGGATGTTTATTTCCTTCCTTGCTTTTGAAATGAATAGAAGTTTTAATTTTAATGTAATTAAATTTCTAAGTGCTATTTGCATTTTGTTTAGGAAATTCTAAATTAGAGAACACTAAATTCCATACTGCGTAACTTTTTTGGACATTGATAGGAATAAGTTTGCAAGGTTGATTCCACCACATCACTTGCTAAGTTTGCTATTTTAAATAGTCATTTGGCTTTAATACAGAATTTTAAAATGGATGATTTTCTCTTTGCATCTATTCTGCATGTCTTAAAGGTTTTTTTCTATTTCTTAGCTATCTTTCTAAATGTTTTGCTGTACAGACATTTGAAAGTAGTATCTCTCTAAATTATATATATATGTATATAATGTATGTGTATATATATTTATATATATATATATAGAGAGAGAGAGAGAGAGAGTACCATCAGAAACTAGCATCTAATTTTATTTTTATGTATTTATAACAATTTGAAACTAATATCTCTTATATCTATGTTATGTTTACAGAACCAGCCTTGGCTTTTGCAGTTCAGTCTTTGTGTTTCCATTAGGTCATTAAGTGTCTTAGAGAGAGAGGAAAATTGTTTTTTTAAACTCTGAATTCCATGCTATTTTGCACTAAGGACAGAACCATGGTAGGGAACAATGACTTTTGATGCTGACCAACATTTTATGTGATGCTTCTTTTGATTAATTTTTATCATCCAGAATAGTGGGGGTTTTTTGTTGTTTTTTTGTTCGTTTGTTTGTTTGTTTTGGAGCTTTCTGTTTCCTTCATGGATACAAGGCCAGGTGTGCACTTTGAATGGGGACGACTTGTGACCATGCTTGTGTCTTCATAGGTCCAGACTGGTCAGCAGTTTTAGATGGTCAGACTTTCCAATTGGTGGTACACTAACGATTATGTTCTCAGGGACTGATTTGCACCAAATAAAATCCTTGGAGTGTGACCCAAAATTTTGGAAGGTAAAATCATAGAGTGGAAGTTCTGTGAAGGTGAGGACTAATGTTGTTCATCATCGTATTCCCATGGCTGGGCACATGGTAGATGCTCAGTAGGTGCTGGCTTATTGAAAGAGAGGAAGACTGATATATTAAGTGCAATAACCAGCACTTTCCATTTCATCCTTGGCTGTTTCCATTCAGTAGACTCACCTACATGCCTCTGTTTTATAGTACAAGAAATCTAGCCCTAGAAAGCAACTTTTGTTAAATGTTGCTTCAGACTGATCTTTACTACCATTCAACCCTGTCCTTGTCCTTATTTCCATTTTTAAAATTTTTGGCTCTGTACACCCTGCTTAAATGTCAGCTCTGGGGTTGGCAAGCCATTTTAGCTACCTTTTGTGCACATATCAAATATGCCTGCCCTCTCAGAGCTCTGCCCATCATCTTGATTTCATGGCCTCATTGAGACCTTCCCACTTCCAGCTCTGGGCCTTTAGAAGTTCACACCCTGGGCCAATGACTGGTACTCAGTCAAGAAAGGGAGCAAGGTGAGAAGTATAGTGGGTAAGTTCTCAGTTCAGATAAAAATGGCCTGAATCAAAGCTTGTCTATTTAATTTGAACTATTTAAAGTCTCTGAGCCTCAGTTTCTTCATTTCTAAAATGAGGATAGTAATTATACCTTCCTCATAGGCTGCTTCAAATATAAAATAAGATCATGCAGGAGAAGGGTCTGGCATTATGCCTGGCACAAAAGAAGCTGCCGTTAATATTGCTGTTGTCACTGCTGCAATTCTTATTGTCACCATTGATATTATTAGTCATCAACATGGGGGAATTTCTCCTAGTGTGTTAGTGAACTTTGAAGACCCAGTTACAGAGATTGCTTGGTGAGGATAAATTAGAACAAAGGAAGCTGGCAAGCCTCATAGATATTTATATCAAGCTACTGTGGTTGAATGAATTGTCTTTCTTCACTTGAGGGAAATTCTGTCAAAAGAACTGCTATCAGTCATGTGAAATCAGCCTGATCTCTTTCTTGAGTGGTATCAGAAAGAGATACTAACGAATTCTAACATTTTGTCATTCTTTTTTTCCTTCAGGATTCATTGTCAGTCACCAAAACTTCTTTTATGTCTACATTACCCTGTAGTGAAAGAGATGATGAATTAGGTCACAGCTTATCTTGCTTTCACTCATTACAGCCTAGCAGTCTTTCTGATGCTGGGAGCCTGGCTATACTTCTGGATAAGTTTAAGATGATAGCAACATGTCACTGGGAACACATTTTTAAGTGTTTCTTGAAAATGGTTCCACACACCCATCTGAACTTGACTTTCATTGTTCATTTTATTTGTTTTCTGAATACAAAATATTGAAGTAGGAAAAGTACCCTTTTAGAGTCCATCACCTCATTGCTCTGTTTCTGACAATGTGCTTTTAAGACCATTAACCTCAGGGTCATTTGGAATCTGGGTAAAATGTAAATCCCAGGCAGTTCCTCAGTCTTCCTGTTTTTGCTCTGTGTCAGTGGGAACACTTGTGTTTTCAGCAGGTGCCCATGGGATTCTGCTGCACATTAAATTTGAGATCCATAGCCTTAGTTTCTTATGGCGGTAAATAAAGGTATGTGTTTTGGGAGGAGTTTGTGAGAACAGAATAGGAAATACACCATGTGGGCTGTTAAGTTTTTTTTCTTAAAATATCTTTATGAACCATGGAAAGATAAATTTTTCATTTATTCCTAATTAACTATATATCTTGAGCTTGTCCAAGCAAAGTAATGTGAACTTCCAATGAGACTAGAGTATGAATTAAATAAAAAAGTATCCATCCTGAGGCACAATTTTAACAAATACCTCTCACCCCACATTGATTTCCTAGTCATTTTGGATACTGCCTACATTGTACTACTTATGTTTTAAAAACCTTAAGACTCATCTGCGTAGCTTGTGAAATTCAGATATTTGGATTCAGCTGGTCTTGGGTGGGGACTTAAAATAAACCCTACATGAAATCCCCATGTGAAGAGATGGGAGAGGTGAATGCTGTTTTATGATGAGTCTATTGTGTGTCTATCTTGTTTTTGTTTTGTTCTGTCTTTCCATTTTTAAATTCTGTGGTAAACACATTATAATATATATTTTTTCTTTGTGGTACTTTTTCTTCTGATATTCCTCATATGGAATCCTCAACAACAAGGCAAAAAGTTGAGTGTGTGCTCAGAGTAGTACATATTAATTTAGAGCTTAAAGACATTTCCTGCAGGACATGTAGGACTATTCAGCATGGCGGTATTTATTAAGCCGGTTCAAGCAATGGAAAAACGTAACTATGGTCAGAGTGAAGCTAATTATCTTCATAGGTAAACTGAAGCTGAAGCTTGTGGCACACTAACGATGCTAAGCTAAAAGTGTATCCAATTATTTTTGTCTTTCTTAATGTCTCTATTGGTTTGGCTTTAGTACATACCTGTAGGATTGATGAATTGAAATATTTGAGGAAATGCTTATGGATAGGTCAAATTGGACTGTGTTCATCAGCTCATCCTAACTCTATAGTTGCCACAAACTTTTTATCACAGCAAAGAGAGTAGAATCAAAGAAAGGGAGATAAGACTTTTTTAAAAAAGGGCCACTGCTCATCTTAAGGTTACAACATATTAGGTAAACTTGGTTTCATATAGATTTTGTACAAATACAAGCCCATAAGCCACATGATAATGGGCACCTGATTTTCACTGTGGGT